>NC_000010.11:54385519-54537034 GCF_000001405.40 Homo sapiens | reverse complement strand
AGAGAGACGCCGTCTCAAAAAAAAAAAAAAAAAAAAAGGAAACAAATTGTTCCACCAAATAGTCACATGCACTTGTATGTTCATTGCAGTACTATTCACAATAACAAAGACATGGATTCAATGTAAGTGCCCGTCAACAGTGAATTGGATAAAGGAAACGTGCTGCACATGCACCATAGAATTCTATGCAGCCATAAAAATAGAATGAAATCATGTTGTTTGCAGCCACACGGATGCAGTTATAGGCTGTTATCCTAAGCAAGTTAACACAGGAACAGAAAAACCAAATAATTCATGTTCTCACTTATATGTAGCAGCTAAACATTGCATAGCCATGGGCATAAGGATGTCAGTAATAGACACTGGACATCTAGAAAAGGGGAGAGGGTGGAAGAGGGACAAGTATTTAAAAAACAACTATTGAGTGCTGTGCTCATTACCTGATGATGGAATCAATCATATCCCAAACCTTACAGTATACCCAGATAACAACCTGCATATTGTATACCTCCTAAATATAAAAGAAAATTTGAAATTATTTTTTAAAAAGTTAACATATGCCCCATTCCTTATTTGATCTACTAATAAAATGTGGTTTTCCTTTGAATGTTAAAAATGGAAGAAACTTCTACTGAAATATTAAAAAAAAAAATGACAGTCATTGCTTTTTAAAAAACAGACATATTTTAAGTGATTTGCTCACTTGGTTAGAATAAAAATTTACCTCACAATAACATAGAAAGCATTTCCATATGCCAGACACTACTCTAAAACAACATCTATTTTACAAATAATGCAACTGAGCTACAGAAAATTTAATTAACTTTCAAAGGTCCTAAGAGTGAGCAAGGTGTTAAATGTGACTAGTATTTAACCTAGGCAGTCTGTCTCAAAGGCTATGTTCTTAACCACAACATTATATGGCCTCTTTTGATGTCAGTGGTAATATTACACCTTGGACCAAGAATTGTTCTGTTCATCTTAAATTCCTCAAATTGAATCATGGTTGCTTGCTGGAAGCTTAGACAAGAAAAGAAGAGTTGTAACCCACAATGGAAGGAAAACCTAAACAGTTTCTAACTCATGTGGTATGAATTATATGTAAGAGAATTATGTATGAATACAAAGATTAACATGTTTTGACAATGTATTTACATAAAACTATAAAATAAAGTACAATAATATTTTCAATCAACAAAAGCAATCTTAAAATTATATACTTCATCTTTGGAGCAGCCTTCTACTGACAATTTATTTCATATTCTGCCTTTTTCCTAAAGCCCCTAGAACCTTAAACTTCTTTTTTTTTTTTTTTTTTTTTTTTTGAGGTGGAGTCTCGCTCTGTCTGCCAGGCTGGAGTGCAGTGGCACCATCTCAGCTCACTGCAAGCTCCACCTCCTGGGTTCATGCCATTCTCCTGCCTCAGCCTCCCGAATAGCTGGGACTACAGGCGCCCGCCACCACGCCCAGCTAATTTTTTGTATTTTTAGTAGAGATGGGGTTTCACCATGTTAGCCAGGATGGTCTCGATCTCCTGACCTTGTGATCCGCCTGTCTCGGCCTCCCAAAGTGCTGGGATTACAGGCGTGAGCCACCGCATCCGGCCAAACTTCTTAAGACTAAGTATGGGCTTCTGGTCTCTGACCAAATGCCATTTATGTTCAAGTCTGCTGTTGTTGATAGACCAGTTAGAATAAAATAAAATAATAAGAAATTGTTTTTTTTAAAAGTACAGATTGAGGTAGCTATGGTCTCTAGAGTAAATTGTATTGATGAAAGCAATGATGTTGAGTAATTACCATGAATGAATTTGGTGGATATTACTAGACAATGTTGTTTTAAAGTCTTCATCAAATTATATAATTCAATTAATAATGACACTAAGGTACATAAAATATCATTTGCTCCCTTCATGGTGAAATCTGAAATCTGCAAATAGTAATGCCAAGAGAGTAACACAAGTAGCATATCCTGTTCTTGAATTGGAACTGAATTACTTGCTCTGTCCTTAAATTTACTCAGTTTATTTTGCTTTTGTTCTATCATTGTCTTTTTCCATTAGTTTGTTGACTGTAACTTTAGATCATACAAGTTAGATTATTGTTCCATTGATTTTATAAATTCAAGATCAAACTTTTTCTTTTGGATGAAGCAGTCAAAATGTAAAATAAGTAGTATCTGTCTTAAGATTTCACTCCTGTGTGTATTTTCCTGAAAATGAATATACCAAAGATCAACAGGAAAAATGAGAAAAGTCCCTCTCCTGCTGCTTGTGACATGCAAATTGAAAACAGAATGCTTGTGTAGCATGAAATTTAAAGAGAACACAGTACCTTCTTTGAATGAGGTGCCAAATTGCTTTGAACTTAGCAATAGATTCAGTGTGTGTGTGTGTCTGTGTAAATACAAACACATGAGCAAGAGACTAGATTACTCTGAATAACGAAACAGATAATAGAGAAATGTTGGCAGGAATAGAGGTTTCACAAAATCTGCAACTCTTCCTTGATCTTTCTGTGGAATCTCACCAACTCATATCAGGGGCATACTGGGACCAGTAGAGGACTGTGAGAACCCCATTACTTTTTTTAAGCTTCAAGTTCAAGGAGTCTATTTTTCCCTAGTAAATTTAATCCATCAGAGTATATCTAGCTTGGTATCTGGGATAGGAATTCAAGCAAATTTTTGTCCCTACAGACCACCAGTGACATTTCATGTAATTACTTTTATTCTTAATAACAATATATTTCACAATCCCATATATAACTAAGATCTGCCCTCACTGAATATTTGGGAGAGCTGAGGGTTTATTTACTATATTTACTATCAGCCCTTGCATGAAAGGAAAAAAATAGAAAAAACATTTTATTCGAATATATTCCTAATGAAAATAAGGATACTAATAAAAGCAAATGTAGGCCTAGTCTGTCTATACATTTTGCCAGACACTCTTCTAAGAAATTACCATAGATTTCCTCATTTTGTCCTTGTTGTAAAAATATATGAGTTAGTTGTAATTACTCTTATCCCCATTAATGAAATACAAGAGGTTAAATAATTTGTCCAATATTATACAACTATTAAAAACCAAAGTTAGGATTTGAAGTTAGGTTTTGTGACTCCAAAGCACATGTTCACAACCACTATAATATATTAGAAACCCATTTCTTTAACATCTTAAAACACTCCCCCAAAGATTTGAAATGGTTAAAGCTAAGGATTTGATGGATTATTCATTTTGTTAATTTTCCATAGAGGAAGATATTTCCTAATTCAGCAAATAAATTAAATGATTATGTTAAGTCAAATACTCTACTAGGTGCCACAGAGTTCACTGGTGATTTAGGCAGCTTGTAAGGAAATAGCTTAAAAATTCTAAGATGACAAAAAAAAGGTAAGTTGATCTTTGATATAATTTAAACTTTAGTATTTGAAATTTCTTAGTTTTATTCCTTTAAGATACAGTTTGGTAAAATCATAAAACATCTTGGAATTCTAATAGAAATTATAGACATTTGGAAGCAAGTGAACATTTTCTCCTTTTTTTTCATCACTTTACTTTGTCTATTATTGTGAGCTCTCTCTAATCTTTCATAACTTGTTCCAAATAACCTCAAATTCTTGCAGAATTATCTACACCTTTCTTACTTTATTGGTAGCCTTTCACATCTGCTGAGTTGTCACCAATGACCTTATCTTTAGACAACAAATTATCTGTCAATTTTTTCCTCATTACAGTAAGTCTTCAGTTAATATTGTCCGTAGGTTCTTGGAAATTGAGACTTTCAATGAAATGACATAAAATGAAACCAATTTTATTTTAGGCTAAACAAAATATAAACAAGTTCCTATGACATAGTTATGGTTACAAAAACATCACCACACTTCTAAATAAAGACCAAAAATTTCTTATATTAAATATTGAAGTAAATGTGAGCTATACATGCATTTAAGAAAGATTAATCAAAAAAAGTGAGATAATTATTTACCAGTTCAGGGCCTCCCATCAGGGAGCCTGCTAGCCCAGTACCTCAGGGCATAAGGCAGGAACCCACCTTGGACAGGATACCATTCCTTCTCAGGGCAACTCACACACACACCCACACTCACTCACACTGGTACCATGTAGCCATGCCAATGAACCTAGCATGTACATCTTTGAGATGTGGGAGGAGACTGGAGTACTCAGGGAAAGTCCTCACAGATTTGGGGAGAACTTGCAAAATCCACACAGATAGTGGCTCAGGCCTGGAATTAGTTGTTTTTTTTTTTCATTGTTATAATGAAATGACATTGAATGAAACAATGTCATTCAAGGACCTGCTGTACTTGCACTTGAGAAAGACATTTGAAAAATTAAAAAGAAAAAAGGGAATTAATGTACAGAGTGTTGTTTTAATTTTATTGTTACAAATTTGATTGAGGCCCTTTGTTTTTGCATTCAGTAAATAATTGCTTGGAATCAAAAATGTGCCAGGAAAATCTGCCCTGTGGACACAACCGTGAGGAATAGAAACAAGGTCAATGTTATCACTGAGTTTTCTTTCTGTGAAGAATCAAGTAATCATAAATTGATATTATGAGGCAGAGTTATGAGAGTATATATTGGGAAACCTTACCTAGTCAAGGGATCAAAAACTATTTTGCTTTGGGAAAAGAGGGACATGGAAATAGATGAGACTGGAGAGGGAAGGAGAAGGCATATTGTGGAGGACTTTGTAGGTTATATAAAATATGTTAGTTTACATTCTAGAATCATATTTGTGATGAGTTGTAGATGGCCAAAATATTTTAGCTTATAACCTAAAATAAATGGTAAATTCTTTTAAAAATAAGCAAGGTTTTAATTATAAAGATCACTCTGCTTAAAGACAGAAAATTAACTCAGAGTAAGGGCAAGATTGATTGTAAGGAAAGCAGTTAGGAAAACCTATTTGATTAGGTAAGAGACAAGATTAGCCTGGTACCACTGCAGATTGAAAGCAGTGAGTGGATATGACAAGTTTTTCTTTAGGAATTAAATTCAAGACTTATCGATCGGTACATTTTGGAAAGCTAGAAACATGGGTAAAATGAAATGTGACTTCCTGGTTTCTGACTTATGTGGCTTGGTGCAGAATTATGCCATTCACTGAAATAATATATATTGAAAATATCCAGTTTTCGGCTATGATAGCAACTGGGATGCGATTTGGAGGGCTACATTTAAGACAACTTTGAAATTGCAAGTACAGAAGTTGTCTGGGCAAATGGGACCCAGGCTCAGAAGATAAATATGGGTAGGAAATTCAATACACAAGTTATTAACATATAAGGGCAATTACTATGTTAATATATTTTTTAAAGTAAATAGTTTTGAAGTCTTATTGAAAACACATTGATCAACGTTAAAAGAACATTTTGAGAATAGGCTAAAGTGGGAATAGAATTTGAATTCCTGGGTGCTTGCTCTCATTTCTACGAAATGAGCATATTCGGAAAATCCTAGATTTTCAAAAGCCTTTGTCTGACCTGTCTGTAACATGCTCTTAAAATTCAGGCTACAATGACAACAGAGTATCACAGGCTTAGTATCTGTGAGATCAGTCATTATTTGTCTTTTTAATTCTCCTCTTTGGATTTTAAATCCCATCTATTGCATATGAATATTTTTAAATATATGGCTTATTTTTAGCATTGTGACAAGTTTGCAGAAATAAGCCACACTGAGCATTCAGTTATTGGTATTCATATCCTGTACTTTACCACAAATTGGATATGGAAAATGAGTATAGGCCTAACAGGCTAGAAACTTTAGGCATGAAAAACAATGAATTTGTGATTTAACCAGGACAGTCAAGGGTGAAATTAAATAGATTAAGGAAGTCCATTTCCAGGGTACAGGTATCAGCAGCTCACCTGACTTTCCTGTGGCAGACAGATGATCCACAGACCATAGGGTACAATCTCCCCATCCCCCAAATTGCTTTCTAGTCTTCCCTTTGATTTACATTTGGATATTTTCATACATAATATATAGTTGGCTATTACATCCAAATTACTTTCTTTCCAAGACAATTCTAAATATAATTGTTCTTATTAAAAATGCTTTTGTGCACTTCAAAACTAATTAATTATGCTGTCGTGAATGCATCGTTTAAAAACAAACACTTTGTTATGAACAATGTTATTAATAGATTATTTATTATGTGTCTGCTTAACCTCTTTTCATTTTGTGTTTTGAGTCTTAAAAAAGTTTAAATTATTTTTGTATTTATCCAGAAGTATATGTAGTATATAAAGAATGTTTTATTGGGGAGAATTTTGAATCTACTAAAATAATAAATCGTAGTGGGAATTATCTAAGGGTACTGTAGCAGGAGAAAATGTAGTTAAGCAGCTTCTTCTGGGCTGTTTCTGCTATTGAGGGGTTAGTGAGAACAGAGACTTCTGAGCTGCTCTCATGGAGAGGTTTTAATGGAAGATTGTAGCTTAGCAGACTACATTGTGGAAAAAGTCAACAAACATTCTTTCAGGACCAGTATCATGTTCTGAGGTTACCAAGGTGAAAATGATGCAGGCATGGTCTGAAGAAGCTCTTGTGAGAGAGAAAGACACATTAGTATTGTGCCAATGGGGCAATTAGTCCAATGGGATACAGTGTGTACTGCAGGAATACAGAGAATAAGGACTTAATCTAGAATGACAACGAGAAGGATTTTCAAGAAGAGGTGATGCGTAGGCAGATTCCTGAAAAAGGAATAAAATTAACCAGGGGAAGAAGAGTGGAAAGTATATTTTAACAGTTGATGCAAAAAACATAAATTTGGTTTGGTATGAATGGAGAATTAACTTTGAGAATGGGAAAGGCGGAGAGTGAGGAAGGGCTGGAATATGAAGATATTATTTGGCTTAGCTTCATAAAGCCTACTTTTAAACTTAATAGTAACAAACTGTAAAAAGGTTCAAAAATATTTATATCCAAATTTCCCCTTCTTTTATTATTCTATATTCTGCTTGCCCATAAAGTTGTTGATTAAATATTTATTCCTCTACCAACATTCACACTAAAATACATAATTTTTATCTATTTTCAGTAGGTATTATGGCATTGGCACACAGTGACATGAGTGTGTGTATATGTGTGTGTGTGTACATATGAGAGAGTGCATACCTTACAATACAGTGCTTTCCAAAGCCTAATTATTCATTTCTATGTACATAATAATTGGAGGAATTTTATAAAACAGTAAATAAATAAAGAAATGTTGAAATCATTTTTCAAGTAACATGAAAATTTGGAAGGCTTTAATCAAAATTAATTCGCACTAGGTGCAAATATGTGAAATATCTAATTCTACAAAAAGAAGCAGAGATTTGCTAGGCAAAAAAAGGCAACAATGAATTTAGATAACAAAATTTTGCTAAAAATACAGGCTACATTCCAGCAACAGTAAGAGGATTCATGTAATTGAAGGACAGGTTGCTTAATTCTCAATAAAGGATGTTAAGGCCATGTGAAGAAACTTTGTTCTTCTGATTTTTTTTTCATTTTCTCCAAAAGAAACATGTAAGGTTTTTGTTCAGAGGAATGCTATTATTTCACTTTTGATTTGGGTACATGAAAATCATTCTCATGAAAGGAATAGATGAATGCAGGATGAGAACAAGACTTCTGGGAGATCAGCGAGGAAACTAAATCAAGAGCAGAGATGACAAATAGTGTAGTGCTGGGCTCTGTAGGAGGGCATAAGGAGAGGAAGAGGCGTAATGAGTGTGAGATATTTTAGATCTGAAAATGTTATGACTTGGAACTCCTTCAATATTGACAAGTGTAAAGAGAGAAAATGTGTAGATCTCCCAGCTTCTTTGCTTCATATGAGAGCGTACATACCTTACAATACAGAATAGTGCTTCCTGAAGGCCTAATTATTCATGTATATGTACATAATAAATGGCAGAATTTTAATAAGTAAATAAACCTTGAAATTATTTCCCAAATAACACACAAATTTGGAAAACTTCAAGCAAAATTAATTTGCACTGCTGTACAGGAGTGTGCCATGTATGTATAACTGCATGACATAGCCCTCTCTGCCTCACAAAGTATTTCCTAGTAGAGTACTTTATGTCTCAGAGGTGCACATTTGACATCCTGCAGGCAAAGTTTTCACATTTCAACTGTCATGGATATTATAGCTCATACTATTTTTTATGTTCATTATCATGTGATACCTGGAAGGATATTAGCAGTGTTTGAAATAATGAATTAATCATCACTACTGATTGACAGGCACTATTCTTAAAGTTTTTTCAGCATACAGATAACAGACTGTTCATAAGTAATTCGTATTTACCTTTTCGTAAGAAAAATACCAATTTACTTTATGTTATTTTCTAGTCTTTTTTGTAACGGCTTTTAAAATGCTAATGATGTGTATTATCCAGTGAATGTGTTAACATTATATTAGAAGTAGGAAATCTGATAGGGATTTTATATATTCTATTTCCACAAATCATTAGATAATGTTATTGTATAATGCTTTTTATATCCTTAAATCTCTCACTAAATATATACATATATTCTCTCTTCCTTTCTTTCTTCCATTTTTCTGATCTGCTTCCATTGATGACTCTATACTTTTGACTCCAGACTGGCAATATGAGGGTAAGATGACAAAAATAAAAACCCCAAACAACCTCATGAGCATTGCTTGTCTGTCTTTGTTTTATTCTCTTTAGAACATTATTAAAATTCTATTCACTCTCTCTAATTAGACCCTTTATCACAATTAAAGTCCAATTATGTTTGTTTCTGTTGTGATGCTTTAATTACAATTTATCCTTGTTAATCATCCCTTTCTGTTATTTCTTTGGGTTAAATTTCCATCCCATTATCTCTGTCCTGAAGGACTTCTGCTCTCCAGTGGTCCCTGCTGGTGTTTTCTCAGTAAGATTTGAGTAGTTTTGTGATGCACAAAGTGACTGTATTATGATGTGGTAAGGAATCTATGTGGTTATTATAAAATGTTTTTAAATAATATTAATTGTAGTGATGCATATTAATTAGATTGCAAGATTTTCCTTTTTAAATATTAATATACATCTCAATGAATTTTTTTCTCATTGTGTGTGCCCCTGCAGTCAATTATTACTTTTGGTTATTTTCTCTCTTTAGATTGCAAACTAGCTAGGGGAGGACCACCAGCTACCATAGTTGCTATTGATGAAGAAAGTCGGAATGGTAAGTGAGTTTTTTATTTTACAAATGTCTTATCTAAGAGGGTTTTCTTCAGATTTTAATTCTCAATCTACTATGAGTAGAGGTACTAAAATGAAAGTTTCAACCCAAATCCATGGATAATTCCCCTCCAGTATGGGTTTAAATTATGCCAGTCTCTGGAAATTCATGCTTTACTTGGAATAATTTATAAAAGTCTCATTCAATTAATATAAATATTTAGTTTTGGTTTAAAAGAAATTATTTGATTCAGAGTCATCTCAAGAATGCATCCAGATATGGGCTGGAAGTTGACTATCATGTGTATAGTCATCTAACAGAAACACAACGTATTCCTCCAAAGAAGTGGTCCACAAAATAAGCCTTACATTGCTAACTTCTATTGGCTGGGATCTGGTAAGGATCTAGATCCACAGCCGATTAGACATGGTGATTGTGACTGATTAATAGGAAAACCTAATGTGCTTAGAAAGCGGGAACATGAAATAAGGCCAAGAGCAGAGAAAGAAGTCTGAATTTTCACTTGGGCCTTCTGAAGTAATTAACAATTAATATCTAATTCATACCAAGTTCTTCTTTGGAAAAACTTTTTTTCCTTATCATTAGTGTTTTTGTTCTGCATCGGCCACCTTGACTCTCTGAACGTTAATGTAGAAATATTGAAAGTGTTTTCTCCTCAACTGGGCAGCAGTAAAATGGTTATCTCTTGGGACTCTGTTTCTATTTTAAACTAAGTATGTAAATGTGGTCTGTGGCTCATTTTGTCTGCTAATTACATGATAGACTCTTCCATTAAGCTTGTACCTAATATTTGTTCTAAAGTATGTGCTTGCACTTTCATATTTTTTACAAAATAATTGTCAGTTGCCTTATTAGAAAGTGACCTTTTTCTTGTAACTCAATCTACACGCGTACATGTACTTTGGAAACCTGTATAGGCAATTCCTGCATCAGTTACTTCTTCATGATTGATTTTGCTGCATTACAGATGCTCCTTTTACTCATTTAAAGAATTGACGCAGATGTATATTCCCACACATTCTGTGAAATCACTCAGAAATATCTACAGTACTGCTGGCCTCTGATTAAACAAATTTAAGTATTAATAAAATATTTGCCACATTAAGTAATTACAAAAATGTGAACATTTTGATTATGTTTTTAAAATCTATCCTTATTCATAATAAAATCATATGGAGTTACAGTTATTATGATGCATTTATGTAAGTTGGAAATAAATCCCAAATGTGTCTACAGTAGAGAAAAAATATTAAAATACTATAAAGTAAAAGATATATGAAAAAAGATTCTCTGTTACAGTGATGAATTATGGCTTCCTTATGGCTAACTATTTTTAAAGAAAGAAATCTATATTTTCTAAATATTCCACAGTGAAAACAGTTAACCTTTTTAACCAGAAATAAAAATTCAATAAACATAATGCAAGGTTTATCAACAATTTCTTTTCTAATTGTTAACCAATTCATTTGAAAATGTAAGCTGGGCTGAAATAAAACATTTAGTTTTCCTAAGCAAATTTGTTTTAATGTGTGATTCTGTATAGATAGAGCTTATTTTGCCAACTAGGTAATTATAGCAACAGCAATGATGATAGTTTATTTCCTTTTGTGCTGATTAGATCCTACTTTTCAAAGGAGCTTAGGAACTCTACGAAGATGTTGCCATAGCACTGCTGTACAGTAGCAGGTGGTAAAAGTTCAATATTTGTGTTTTAGAAGAAAATGACATGATATAGTATACTAATGTTGTGCTCCTTACTTGGCATATTTTGTAGAAACTGCCAACTACTCAGAAAGCTGCCAGAGTTATTTAAGTCATCACAAGAAGTATAAATACTGATCTAGAGAGTAAATGTTTTGCATTTCTCTTTTGCATTAAATTTCTAAAAATATGGTGATCAAATGAACCTCTGCCAGATATTATAATGTAGTGCTTTAATCATTTTTGTCTTAAAAATCTAAGGGAAACAATCCATGCAAATGTTTTTATATTTTTCTTTAGGCAATCAAAACTTCCCAATGACACAATTATTTTTGGCCATGTTGGGTGGCTCATGCCTGTAGTCCCAGCATTTTGGGAGGCTGAGGCAGCTGGATTGCTAGAGCTCGGGAGTTCAAGGCCAGCCTGGCCAACATGGCAAGACCCTGTTTCTACTAAAAATGCAAAAATTAGCCAGGTGTGGTGGCACACACTCACAGTCCCAGCTACTTGGGAGGCTGAGGCACGAGAATCACTTGAACCTGGGAGGCCAGGAGGGGAGGTTGTAGTAAGCTGAGATCATTCCACTGCACTGAAGCATGGGTGGCAGAGTGAGATCCTGTCTGAAAAAAAGAAAGAAAAGAAATACTTATTTTTAGCCTTGCTCTATACTCTCTTAATTTCTCCTTTCCAGTATCTTTTAATTGGTAGTAATAAAACATGTGGGTTTCCTATTTTACCAGAATGATGAGCACTCATTTTTAAAGGCTTTGAAGCTTCTTTGAAAAGAAAGGCCTAACAAATCTTTAATCAGCTAAATTAGTAAATTTACTTGAAGTCAAATTGCCTGTGGCTCACTTAACTGATGTCTATTGCTAAATAATCTCTATATCTAAATACATTCACTACTAAAGCAAAGCATCTAAATAGCTCATTTTTTAAATTATAGCTAATTGTTTATGTAAGTCATTGAGCTACATTTATAGAACACTTATTTATACACATGTCTCTATCTCTCAAAGACTTTTATAATTTGTGGGACAGAAATATTCTTTGTGAATATATATGTCAAGTGCATTTATACATATGTGCATGCTTGGAAGAATTATGAATTTAACAGGCAGAGATCCATAAACTTCTTTCTCATCCTGGGCTCTGTTAGATGCTTTCAATTCCTGATCTTTGTCCTCAACAGCACCTTAATGACAGATTCATTACATCATCTTGGGCTGAACAAGAGATTATTTTCATCACAATTGCTGGTAATACTAAGCTTACGTTGTAAAGGGGCAAAGTGGACACACAAAGAGATATGTTAGTTCCTGACTACCACCAGAAAGCTCTTGAACTAGCATGTAGAGCGTATTTAGTATGTAATTTCATTTTGAGGGGAGAATGGATTTAGAGAAACAGATCACATTATCTATGTTTAATTAAGTGAGAATGTCTAAAATACCTTTCTGAACAGATATTTTCTAGTTTCTCTTGACTCTAAGTTGCTTATAGCATTGAAGCCTTACTGAAAGAAGAGAGGTGGGGACAGTTACTCTGGGACTACTTAAAGACCTGCCACTGAGTGCCAGCCACATCAGAGTCCTTGGCTGCTTTACAGCAACTATAGATTGACATTAAACATACTTTGGAACCACTCATTCAAACTAATTCTCAGAATCTGCCGAAGTGTACAGGCACTGCTACGTAAAGAGAAGGAGAAAATGATTTTAAGTCATGGTTGGAACACACCACTGTGACTGTACAGAAATGGACAGATGCAGAGACAAAAGGATATCACTACGTGAGAGATTAGAAAACCCACCCTGAAGGAGCTTCATGAATTTAAAGTTTAAAATATATTGTACACTCTCAGTAAATTTGGGAAATGAAAGGTAAATCTGAGTTGTCTCCATAATTTGAAAGCAACATCAACCAAGGATGCCATGATGGACTCAATGAAGAAGTTTACATTTAGATTGTATAATTTTTTAAAAGTTATTTGGGGAGTGAGTTGCTTGTGGAAATTTATCGATGTAAGAGGGGAGGAAGCACCAAAGTTCAATTACTGGCTTTGAAATAAAGGTCATGAAGATTTTCTTTGTACAGAACTTTCCTAAGCAGTATTTCTCCATCCTCTCTTCCTTACACGGGCTCTCTTGAGGTCTTAGATTTTACCATTCCCTGTCTTTAAGGCCTTTCTTCTCTAAATTTCCTTTTGCCGTAAACAGTTATTTCATTTCTTCCATTCCTTATGATCAAATATTGACTGTTAGACTTCGGATTTGTGTTGCTGAGACAATTGGACTGTGAGTTTCTTCCCTGTTAAGACACTGAAAATCTGATCACTACCTTCACTTTTGAATAGAGTGCAGTAATCAACAGTATAAAGTTTCTTAGCAATTGCTAGATATAAATAGTAATTCAAAAACTATCTTGAAAATATTTTGGACTTAAAATATTTCCTACAGCAGTTTTCAAAACAAATATTCAAATGCCAAGTATTCCTAAATTGAATTACTTATGTAATTCAACTAAATGTAAGTATGTCATGTGATTTAAAGAACATGAAAGTACTTGCTATCCCTTCATCTATGACTACTTCATACAAATTTGACATATATACTAAAATGAGCATTTATTTTATATTTATATCAGGTAGTGTAGTTTAAGCAAAGAATGTATAATTACTTTTCAGTATGAATAGAAATGAATCTGTTAAGTATACTCAATATAAAATTTTTATGAAATTGTTATAATCTACGCACTGTTAAAGTACACTACTTTTGGTTAAATTCAAATGGGTTTATTCAACAAAATGTAGATATATACTAATATATTGAGTGCTTTTTTAAAAAATCCACCAAAGCAACTTGCCATTGATGTCAAGAATCAAGATTTTGTTTATTATTGATCCAAGTTTTTGCTTTCTAGATTCTCCATTTTGTCATACAGTAATCCTTGGTTCTCATTCCAAAAATGCTGACCTGGTTAGCACTAAGCTCTTTTCATGTACCTCAGGACACATTGGAAACTATGATATTGCTTTTACTGTCATTTGTGTGTTTGCTTTTGAAAATTTACAATTTTACAGAGCAGTGCTTTGAGTTGTCAGACCTGGGTGTGGTTGAGAGTGTTGCTTCTTAAGTTGGTTTTGAGTAAGAAAGACAATAGTTCCTAGTCAAAGTTTAGTATTAAAATTATTCTCCCAAATTTGTCTTCATTTTTACAACAAAACAGCTGAAATAGAATGTAAGTAAAGACCACCTGCTTGCAATTCTCTCCTTCCCTGTTACAAACAATCTTGAACACATGCCCAATACATAATTTTGTTGTTCAATCAGTCATTTCATTAATCATTTGTTTGCTTAGTTATTTCTTCAAGGTATGATTATTGACACTCTATATTGTGTGAGAATCTGTTCTGGTACTGGCGATGCATCAGAGAAGAAAACAGGCAAAACCACTTTCCACATGGAGATAGAGACAGGGAGTAAAAACGAAACAGAGCAAGAAACCAAGGTGTGATTAACAACTGAGGAGGCAGTGATGCTGTTTCAGATAGACGACTTGTTTCTTTGAGGAAATTACATTAGAGCAAAACTGCATAAAGTTAAGACTGAAGATGTGAGCCATGCATTCATCCAGGGAATTTACATTATAGACAGAGGAATAAATTCAAAGACTCTGAAGATGAATATGCTGATAAGTTTAAGAAATGGCAAGAAGATAGCTGGAGAAGATGAGAAAGAGCATATGTGATTGAAATAGAGAAGATGGATGTTGATTGAATGTATGTAGATTAGTCAAAAATGTTTTTGACTTTTTAATTGATTTGCCAACAAATCAGTTGATGGTGACCTCATCTAGTAACATATAATTTACAAAGAATAATTCTTTTTTCATCACTCAATGTCATAGCAGCGCATAATTAAAAATTCAAATTCACAACTGTGTGTAGATGTTTGTTCACAATCACAGATAATTTTATTCCTTTTTTTTTTTTTTTTTTTTTTTGAGATGGATTCTCACTCTGTCACTCAGGCTGGAATGCAGCGGCGTGATCTTGGCTCACTGCAAGCTCAGCCTCCCAGGTTCACGCCATTCTCCTGCCTCAGCCTCCCGAGTAGCTAGGACCACATGCACCCACCACCATGCCTGGCTAATTTTTTGTACTTTAGTAGAGATGGGGTTCCACCGTGTTAGCCAGGGTGGTCTCGATCTCCTGACCTCGTGATCCACCCGCCTCGGCCTCCCAAAGTGCTGGGATTACAGGCATGAGCCACCACGCCCGGCCAACTTTATTATTTAAAAATATATTTTACTCAGAAAAAATCAGAAAATGCATTAAGTCATTCAATTTGGCTCAGTGGTATCACTGCCTCATTTAACACAAAGTAGAGGATTATTACAGTCATACCAAAGGTCAATATGAATGTGATGATTTCTATTGGAAAGTAATACTTAGTGTCAGAAAATTTCATAGTGTGGTACCATCAAAATTAATAAGTGATTTTTGTTATATTACATTCTCTTTTAAAAAATCATTAATAAAGAGGGAAGATTCAATAGTAGCAGCTTCACATTTCAGATAAATCCTTACAAATATATTTACTTTGCTTGATAAAATGATCTTCTTTATTGAATATATTTTGGTGAAAATTGATTAATGTGCTTGGTTTTATCTTAATACTTCGGGACAGGCAAGGAGTGAGCATTATTTGTGAGAAAATAGCAAATAGCATCCCATCAGTATTCTCTAAGGAGTTTATTCAGTATCTTTAAAAGGGTTTATTTAGAGATATGAGGGATCTTATTGACAACAGTCAGAGTAAATATTATAAATGACTTAAAAACAGTAAGTGATTAATTTTCTATTTTGTTTTATTATTATTATGCTTTAAGTTTTAGGGTACATGTGCACAATGTGCAGGTTTGTTACATATGTATACATGTGCCATGTTGGTGTACTGCACCCATTAACTCATCATTTAGCATTAGGTATATCTCCTAATACTATCCCTCCCCCCTCCCCCCACCCCACAACAGTCCCCAGAATGTGATGTTCCCCTTCCTGTGTCCATGTGTTCTCATTGTTCAATTCCCACCTATGAGTGAGAACATGCGGTGTTTGTTTTTTTGTCCTTGCGATAGTTTGCTGAGAATGATGTTTTCGTTTCATCCGTGTCCCTACAAAGGACATGAACTCATCATTTTTTATGGCTGCATAGTATTCCATGGTGTATATGTGCCACATTTTCTTAATCCAGTCTATCATTGTTGGACATTTGGGTTGGTTCCAAGTCTTTGCTATTGTGAATAATGCCGCAATAAACATACGTGTGCATGTGTCTTTATAGCAGCATGATTTATAGTCCTTTGGGTATATATCCAGTAATGGGATGGCTGGGTCAAATGGTATATCTAGTTCTAGATCCCTGAGGAATCGCCACACTGACTTCCACAATGGTTGAACTAGTTGACAGTCCCACCAACAGTGTAAAAGTGTTCCTGTTTCTCCACATCCTCTCCAGCACCTGTTGTTTCCTGACTTTTTAATGATTGCTATTCTAACTGGTGTGAGATGGTATCTCATTGTGGTTTTGATTTGCATTTCTCTGATGGCCAGTGATGATGAGCATTTTTTCATGTGTTTTTTGGCTGCATAAATGTCTTCTTTTGAGAAGTGTCTGTTTATATCCTTTGCCCACTTTTTGATGGGGTTGTTTGTTTTTTTCTTGTAAATTTGTTTGAGTTCATTGTAGATTCTGGATATTAGCCCTTTGTCAGATGAGTAGGTTGCAAAAATTTTCTCCCATTTTGTAGGTTGCCTGGTCACTCTGATGGTAGTTTCTTTTGCTTTGCAGAAGCTCTTTAGTTTAATTAGATCCTATTTGTCAATTTTGGCTTTTGTTGCCATTGCTTTTGGTGTTTTAGACATAAAGTCCTTGCCCATGACTATGTCCTGAATGGTATTGCCTAGGTTTTCTTCTAGGGTTTTTATGGCTTTAAGTGTAACATATAAGTCTTTAATCCATCTTGAATTAATTTTTGTATAAGGTGTAAGGAAGGGATCCAGTTTCAGCTTTCTACATATGGCTAGCCAGTTGTACCAGCACCATTTATTAAATAGGGAATCCTTTCCCCATTACTTGTTTTTGTCAGGTTTGTCAAAGATCAGATAGTTGTAGATATGCGGCCTTATTTCTGAGGGCTCTGTTCTGTTCCATTGATCTATATCTCTGTTTTGGTACCAGTACTATGCTGTTTTGGTTACTGTAGCCTTGCAGCATAGTTTGAAGTCAGGTAGCGTGATGCCTCCAGCTTTGTTGTTTTGGCTTAGGATTGACTTGGTGATGCGGGCTCTTTTTTGGTTCCATATGAACTTTAAAGGAGGTTTTTCCAATTCTGTGAAGAAAGTCCTTGATAGCTTGATGGGGATGGCATTGAATCTATAAATTACCTTGGGCAGTATGGCCATTTTCACAATATTGATTCTTCCTATCCATGAGCATGGAATGTTCTTCCATTTGTTTGTATCCTCTTTTATTTCATTGAGCAGTGGTTTGTAGTTCTCCTTGAAGAGGTCCTTCACGTCCCTTGTAAGTCAGATTTCTAGGTATTTTATTCTCTTTGAAGCAATTGTGAATGGGAGTTCACTCATGATTTGGCTCTCTGTTTGTCTGTTATTGGTGTATAAGAATGCTTGTGATTTTTGTACATTGATTTTGTATCCTGAGACTTTGCTGAAGTTGCTTATCAGCTTAAGGAGATTTTGGGCTGAGACAATGGGGTTTTCTAAATATACAATCATGTCATCTGCAAACAGGGACAATTTGACTTCCTCTTTTCCTAATTGAATACCCTTTGTTTTCTTCTCCTGCCTCATTGCCCTGGCCAGAACTTCCAACACTATGTTGAATAGGAGTGGTGAGAGAGGGCATCCCTGTCTTGTGCCAGTTTTCAAAGGGAATGCTTCCAGTTTTTGCCCATTCAGTATGATGTTGGCTGTGGGTTTGTCATAGATAGCGCTTATTATTTTGAGATAAGTCCCATCAATACCTAATTTATTGAGAGTTTTTAGCATGAAGGATTGTTGAATTTTGTCAAAGGCCTTTTCTGCATCTATTGAGATAATCATGTGATTTTTGTCTTTGGATCTGTTTATATGCTGGATTACATTTATTGATTTGCATATATTGAACCAGCCTTGCATCCCAGGGATGAAGCCCACTTGATCATGGTGCATAAGCTTTTTGATGTGCTGCTGGATTTGGTTTGCCAGTATTTTATTGAGGATTTCTGCATCAATGTTCATCAAGGATATTGGTCTAAAATTCTCTTTTTTGGTTGCGTCTCTGCCAGGCTTTGGTATCAGGATGATGCTGGCCTCATAAAATGAGTTAGGGAGGATTCCCTCTTTTTCTATTGATTGGAATAATTTCAGAAGGAATGGTACCAGCTCCTCCTTGTACCTCTGGTAGAATTCGGCTGTGAATCCGTCTTGTCCTGGACTCTTTTTGGTTGGTAAGCTATTGATTATTGCCACAATTTCAGCTCCTGTTATTGGTCTATTCAGAGATTCAACTTCTTCCTGGTTTAGTCTTGGGGGGGTGTATGTGTTGAGGAATTTATCCATTTCTTCTAGATTTTCCAGTTTATTTGCGTAGAGGTGTTTGTAGTATTCTCTGATGGTAGTTTGTATTTCTGTGGGATCGGTGGTGATATCCCCTTTATCATTTTTATTGCGTCTATTTGATTCTTCTCTCTTTTTTTCTTTATTAGTCTTGCTAGCGGTCTATCAATTTTGTTGATCTTTTCAAAAAACCAGCTCTTGGATTCATCAATTTTTTGAAGGGTTTTTTGTGTCTCTATTTCCTTCAGTTCTGCACTGATTTTAGTTATTTCTTGCCTTCTGCTAGCTTTTGAATGTGTTTGCTCTTGCTTTTCTAGTTCTTTTAATTGTGATGTTAGGGTGTCAATTTTGGATCTTTCCTGCTTTCTCTTTTGGGCATTTGGTGCTATAAATTTCCCTCTACACACTGCTTTGAATGTGTCCCAGAGATTCTGGTATATTGCGTCTTTGTTCTCGTTGTTTTGAAAGAACATCTTTATTTCTGCCTTCATTTCATTATGTACCCAGTAGTCATTCAGGAGCAGGTTGTTCAGTTTCCATGTAGTCGAGTGGTTTTGAGTGAGTTTCTTAATCTTGAGTTCTAGTTTGATTGCACTGTGGTCTGAGAGACAATTTGTTATAATTTCTGTTCTTTTACATCTGCTGGGGAGTGCTTTACTTCCAACTATGTGGTCAATTTTGGAATAGGTGTGGTGTGGTGCTGAAAAAAATGTATATTCTGTTGATTTGGGGTGAAGAGTTCTGTAGATGTCTATTAGGTCCTCTTGGTGCAGAGATGAGTTCAATTCCTGGGTATCCTTGTTAACTTTCTGTCTCATTGATCTGTCTAATGTTGACAGTGGGGTGTTAAAGTCTCCCATTATTATTGTGTGGGAGTCTAAGTCTCTTTGTAGGTCACTCAGGACTTGCTTTATGAATCTGGGTGCTCCTGTATTGGGTGCATATATATTTAGGATAGTTAGCTCTTCTTGTTGAATTGATCCCTTTACCATTATGTAATGGCCTTCTTTGTCTCTTTTGATGTTTGTTGGTTTAAAGTCTGTTTTATCAGAGACTAGGATTGCAACTCCTGCCGTTTTTTGTTTTCCTTTTGCTTGGTAGATCTTCCTCCATCCCTTTATTTTGAGCCTATGTGTGTCTCTGCACATGAGATGGGTTTCCTGAATATAGCACACTGATGGGTCTTGACTCTTTATCCAATTTGCCAGTCTGTGTCTTTTAATTGGAGCATTTAGCCCATTTATATTTAAAGTTAATATTGTTATGTGTGAATTTGATCATGTCATTATGATGTTAGCTGGTTATTTTGCTCGTTAGTTCATGCAGTTTCTTCCTAGCCTTGATCGTCTTTACAATTTGGCCTGTTTTTGCAGTGGCTGGTACCTGTTGTTCCTTTCCATGTTTAGTGCTTCCTTCAGGAGCTCTTTTGGGGCAGGCCTGGTGGTGACAAAATCTCTCAGCATTTGCTTGTCTGTAAAGTATTTTATTTCTCCTTCACTTATGAAGCTTAGTTTGGCTGGATATGAAATTCTGGGTTGAAAATTCTTTTCTTTAAGAATGTTGAATATTGGCCCCCACTCTCTTCTGGCTTGTAGAGTTTCTGCCGAGAGATCTGCTGTTACTCTGATGAGCTTCCCTTTGTGGGTAACCCAATCTTTCTCTCTGGCTGCCCTTAACATTTTTTCCTTCATTTCAACTTTGGTGAATCTGACAATTATGTGTCTTGGAGTTGCTCTTCTCGAGGAGTATCTTTGTGGCGTTCTCTGTATTTCCTGAATCTGAACGTTGGCCTGCCTTGCTAGGTTGGGGAAGTTCTCCTGGATAATATCCTGCAGAGTGTTTTCCAACTTGGTTCCATTCTCCCCGTCACTTTCAGGTACACCAGTCAGACGTAGATTTGGTCTTTTCACATAGTCCCATATTTCTTGGAGGCTTTGTTCGTTTCTTTTTATTCTTTTTTCTCTAAACTTCCCTTCTTGCTTCATTTCATTCATTTCATCTTCCATCACTGATACCCTTTCTTCCAGTTGATCTCATCGGCTCCTGAGGCTTCTGCATTCTTCACGTAGTTCTCGAGCCTTGGCTTTCAGCTCCATCAGCTCCTTTAAGCACTTCTCTGCATTTGTTATTCTAGTTATACATTCATCTAATTTTTTTTTTCAAAGTTTTTAACTTGTTTGCCATTGGTTTGAATTTCCTCCTGTAGCTCAGCGTAGTTGATCATCTGAAGCCTTCTTCTCTCAACTCGTCAAAGTCATTCTCCGTCAGCTCAGAGTAGTTTGATCATCTGAAGCCTTCTTCTCTCAGCTCGTCAAAGCATTCTCCATCCAGCTTTGTTCCGTTGCTGGTGAGGAACTGCATTCCTTTGGAGGAGGAGAGGCGCTCTGCTTTTTAGAGTTTCCAGTTTTTCTGCTCTGTTTTTTCCCCATCTTTGTGGTTTTGTCTGCTTTTGGTCTTTGATGATGGTGATGTACGGATGGATTTTTGGTGTGGATGTCCTTTCTGTTTGTTAGTTTTCCTTCTAACAGTTAGGACCCTCAGCTGCAGGTCTGTTGGAGTTTGCTAGAGGTCCCCTCCAGACCCTGTTTGCCTGGGTATCAGCAGCAGTGGCTGCAGAACAGCGGTGGCTGTAGAACAGCAGATTTTCATGAACTGCAAATGCTGCTGCCTGATGGGTCCTCTGGAAGTTTTGTCTCAGAGGAGTACCCGACCGTGTGAGGTGTCAGTCTGCCCCTACTGGGGGATGCCTCCCAGTTAGGCTGCTCGCAGGTCAGGGACCCACTTAAGGAGGCAGTCTGCCCATTCTCAGATCTCCAGCTGCGTGCTGGGAGAACCACTACTCTCTTCAAAGGTGTCAGACAAGGACGTTTAAGTCTGCAGAGGTTACTGCTGTCTTTTTGTTTGTCTGTGCCCTGCCCCCAGAGGTGGAGCCTACAGAGGCCGCAGGCCTCCTTGAGCTGTGGTGGGCTCCACCGAGTTCCAGTTTCCTGGCTGCTTTGTTTACCTAATCAAACAACTAACTCGGCAATGGCCAGCGCCCCTCCCCCAGCCTGTCTGCCGCCTTACAGTTTGATCTCAGACTGCTGTGCTAGCAATCAGCGAGACTCCATGGGCATAGGACCCTCCGAGCCATGTGCGGGATATAATCTCCTGGTGTGCCGTTTTTTAAGCCCGTTGGAAAAGTGCAGTATTAAGGTGGGAGTGACCCGATTTTCCAGGTGCCATCTGTCACCCCTTTCTTTGACTAGGAAAGGGAATTCCCTGACCCCTTGAGTTTCCTGAGTGAAGCAATGCCTCTCCCTGCTTTGGCTGGTGCACGGTGCGCTGCACCCACTGTCCTGCACCCACTGTCTGGCACTCCCTAGTGAGATGAACCCGGTACCTCAGATGGAAATGCAGAAATCACCTGTCTTCTGCGTCACTCACGCTGGGAACTGTAAACCAGAGCTATTCCTACTCGGCCATCTTGGCTCCATCCCCCAAGTGATTAATTTTCATGCTACACTTGAGACTTTACCAAATCTTAGAAACAATCAGTCTAAAATTTCTTTTCGATGAGTAAGTTTTATGGAACACTATTATAACAAATGTTTTCTTTGTTTTTCTGTTACTGATGAACCATTGATACCTCTATTAGAATTTCCATTCTGTATTGCATAGCAAGTATGAAAGTTTTGCTAAGTAAATGTTTTATTTGTATTATTTGAATATTCTTTTAACACCTTGGACCCTGATGGATTTGAAATAATGTTTCACAATGAATAGATTTGTTTCAGTTAAAACTGTTTTTTTTTTTTTTTTGAAGTCTATTTTGAATCCCAGGAGAAAAGCAATTATTTCAATTTTATTTCAGCCAATTTCAAAATTCCAGCTAAATCTCACAAAATATAATTTTTATTCATACTTGTTCATACTTTTTTAAAAAAACTAACTGTGTGCTACTCCTTGCTTTCATTTTTTTTTTCAGGAGAGGTAAATCAGCTAATATTCATGATAGATTTTCAGTTGACTAAAATACCAGCAATTTAAAATTAACAGATAATTATTATCCTTTCACATAATCCTAAATTGCTAACTTTATATATTTATCTGATTAAAAATCACTATTTTGTATAAAGTCTTTATTATTGTTGGCAAGTAAAACACTGATAGGAAGCTGTGTGAACATTATTATAATTATATATATGTTTTCTTTAGAAGGAATCAGAGATTAATTTATTTCTGGGTTTTTCAATTATTGACTATTAGTTAAAATTAAGACTACACAAAGATGTGCCTTCTTCATTCTGTGATATAGTTGTTCAGAGATAGCACTAACATTTTAACAATATGTAAAAGAAATATCCTCTGTAAATCTTATTACATGAGTAAAGCACATAATTGTTTTCATGTTAACAAAGTGGTTAGAAAACAAGAAGAATTCCCTATATAAAAAGACAGAATTTTGTAAGCCTGTGAATACGAAGCCATGCTCTAGGGAGAAGACAGATGGAAGGTAAACATGCAAGCCTGTGGCTAATATTTTTCTGCAAACAACTGTCAGCACCTTTTATCTCAGAATAGAGAATATTTGGATCATTATATTACATGCAATTTCTGTGAGGGCAAAGACTATCTTTTTTGATTCATTGCTGTAATCCAAGAATTTCTCCAGGTACATAGTAGGCATTTCAAATACTGTTTTTTGAGAAAGTGAACCATTAACATTAACATGAGTTTCACAAATAACAGCTGCATCAGACTTAAATGAGACTTACCTGCCTATTTAGGATAGTTTGGAGTATTAATATGATTAAGATTTTTTAACATAATTAATCTTTAATCAAAATTCACCTTGCATGTATAAAAATACATAGTGTGATTCTTTTTAATTTCAAGTATGTTTTTGCTTGCATTGTCATGTCTACAATGATGACAAAAATTTTGTTTTGTGTTCAATAAGATGTTTTTGAAATAATAGAAAATAATATAACAATATTCTAATGTGAGGGAATACTGGTGTGTTTGTGTGTAGACATATAAAATTAGACTGAATATTATTTTAGCCAGGCATGGGGGCGTGCACCTGTAATCTCAGCTACTTGGGAGGCCGAGGCATGAGAATCACTTAAACCCAGGAGGCAGAGTTTGCAGTGAGCCGAGATTGCACCACTGCACTCCAGCCCAGGTGACAGAGTGAGACTGTGTCTCATAAATAAATAAATAAATAAATAAATAAATAAATAAACAAAAATAAATGAAATGGAATATTTGGCCAAATCAAAGAAAAAGAAATCTAACACTAAAATATTTTAAAACCCATACTATCACAAATTAAAGTATAAAATATACATATTTTATGTATTCATATTTTTAAAATGTTTTGTACATTTAAGAATATTTCATAAAATGAAAAATCTGATTATTCAGATAACCAGGTAAATTTATAAAATTATATTTTATTTTAGGGGTATTAGATAATTTCATATGACAGATGAAGTTTATCAGCCTTGTCATGTGGTATGATTTAATGGCTGTGTAAAAATACTGTCTAATTCTTGGAAAATGGCTCGCTTTAGTTTTTAACTTTTGATGGTAAAATCTTCACTTAGGTCTTTTAGGCTTTAAGGGAAGTTAGATAAAGTAGACACGTGCATCATGAAATGACATTTTTAAAGAGTATAATTAGACAGAATATAATATTTTGAATTAAAGAAAATAATGGAAAGTCAAATTATACTTTCATTAATAATTTGCTGTCTATTCTACGTGTTAGTAATTTTAAAAAATAACTATTCTGCATGAGTAAATATTTTTATTTAAAACCTCTAAGAAACTGCAAATGATTTAACAAACATCAATATGTTATGTGAGTTTGCAGTTCATGAAATGAGGAAAAAACCCATTTGCCATTTGACATTTCTAGTTTAAAATTAAGATTAAATTTTCAGAAGTAGTAACTAAATTTTGATAACCCTTTCTTCATTAAAAAATTAAAATGAAATGTAATGCCATTTTTGTAGGATAGCAAGATATTATTGTATGTACAGTTAATTGGTAGACATATACGCATCATCCCCCAATAATACACACACACACACACACACACACACACACACACACACACACAATGCCAGAAATGTCTATACCATGTTCAAAAATCAATAGAGTTTTAAAATATTCAAGCTATGATAGGTTTCCTGAAACCATACCTGCATCTACACTAGTGAAGAAAGAATACTCTGTACTTTTAAATTTAATAAGAACTCTTACTCAAATTTCAGTAATCCATATTAAATTTATATCATGGAAACTTTATGTTTTATTAGACATCTTGGTGGACAGAAAGATATCCGGAGGTCAAGAACCCTAGAAGGGGTGTTTTGAATTTTCTCTTAAGAAATAAATTGCTGGCTTTTGACATTATAAATAACAACACCAAATGTCAACTTGGAATTTGAAAGATGAAATCTCTGGGTTTTCATTATTGAGCTGGATTAGCAGGTATTAGTTCTTTTATAAAATCAAGGGTTATGGTATGTTTTCTTAAATGTTTGGTTAGTGTCCAACTGGGCTTCAAAGTTCATTTGAAAACACTCCCCCAAAGAAAAAAAAATAAGCACTCACATACCTTATTTGACCCAAAATTTCAAAACATTTTGAGGTCATAGAAAACATATCCAGGGACTTGTATTAAACAATGCTATTAAAAATGTATAGAGAAAATTTGAAACTAAAAATATAGTAGCTATATAAATCTATTTCAGTCATATTTTAGAAAGTTAGACTAGATATGTGTTTGGTTTGAGACTAAGAGTTAAAATTCCAGGAGTTCAAAGACTATTTTCCAAATTTAATGTGATCACCCAAATGCATTATCCATAAAGTGACCGTATGATATATCACATAAACTGAAGACATCAGTTGAGACTTAATATGGAAACAAACAACACAATAATCAATATGAATCAAGATTTTCTGTAAAAAATAAACTCTATAAAACTGGGATCTGTTGTAGCAATCTGTGAAGTGCTATTCTCTCTGTTTCTGGTGGTAGGCGTGAAGAATCTGCAGGTCACCTAGGCTGGCAGCTGGGAAGGAAAAGTTAGTGTGAATCAGAGGAGAGTGAGGGCAAACTGATATCCATGAAGCCAAATTAGAGTCCATGGGGACAATAATTGTAACCCATATCTGTTACCACCTTTAACCTGTATGCTACTAACTACTTCATACTGACAAGGAAAGTCAGCAGATCAGCAACAGCATGCAAGAGCAGAACAGGGTACCCACACGAGGTACAATGGGTGCTGCAGCAATTTTAACAGGAAAAAAATTATTCTTAAAAATATGGTTTCACTAAAGTTTACCTCTCAAATTGACATCAATGTATTCCATTTTAAATCACGTTTACATTCCAAATAAAGGTAACGGTAAAATCATGCTTCTTTCCAAGGTGACGCATCTATACTTCTACCAACTGAAAGCACGCTAACCATCACTCTGAAAGTGGATACAAACTCACAAAAGTCATTTGTTCACCAGTGGTCGATGTTCATTCCACTTCTGATACACTTCTCCCTCTTTAGTATCATATGAGTTAAATACGGTGACATAAAGTTAATTACTATTATCACATTTTTATGTTAGATGGCAGGAGACGTGGAAAAAAGGGAAACTTTGGTTAATCTTTTTGAAATACATTCACACCAAAATAAGAAAGAACTTTTCATAATTATCGCAATTCTTATGTTTGCAATTGGTCACATGGTCATAGCTTGTTTATAGCTTCCTTCTTGTACTACCTATTTCATTATTACTTTTATTTTAACCAGATCATCAGGTCCTTTTGTCTGAAACAATGACCTGAAATTTTGTTCCTGAAGAGCCTTGGCCATTAGTAGTTCTTCCTGTGTTAGTCCATTGTAGTTTTCCAATAACTTTGATCACAACACAAGGGAGTACTAAGGGGACCCACTTGATCTCCTACAAATGGTTTCACTTATCCATCTGCTGAAGTTACTCTTTGGTTAGCACCTATATGTGACACAAATGTGTTTAAGCTCTGTACCCAAGTAGAGAGAATTAATCACATAAATCTTCTTCAGTCCTCCCTGTCACCGATGCTCCAATTATGTTCAAGTACTGTCAGCCAAACTATTAACTTTTCCCAGGGCATCAGGGTAGATATGTTCTTTGGCTATCACTCTTTTCAGGAGAAATGAAGAACCAAATATGCTGCTCAAAGTTCTGCTGATGTCAAGGGTTTGGCTTTACCACTAACTTCTTTAGGGCTCTGCATAAAGACAATCAGGAAAAGTGAATAAACAAACAGAAATAAAAGCAATTTTTTTGACTGTGTATTTGAAACTGAACAAAACCACATTCATTCAACCAATGGAACAAGGAGCAATAGCTCCCTTCAAAGTATATTTATGCCAAGGATTTGTGTAGATTAGTGAAGTGACTGAGTCTGGCTGACTTCTCCAAGAGTTTTGGAAAAGTTTTTACATCCTAAGTGCCATCCAGAACATCGCAACAGCATGGGAAGAAGTCACACAGCAGTGCATGATCGGCATGTGGAAGAAAGTTTCGAAGACATATGTGAACACATTCAAAAGCTTTAACAAAGACTCTGCTGTTGATGAATAGTAGGTAACAAGTTATTAGCACTTGAGAAACAGCTAAAATTGGGTATTGATGAAGAGGATATTCATGGGTTTGTTGGCACTGAGTTTTCAAGTGATCAAACTGTAGGAAGAAAGAAGTAAAGAAGTTGAGGCAGAGGAAGAAGTTAAACCGGAGGAACCAAGAAAGTGTACAGCAAAGAAACCTGTGGAGGCCTTTGCTGCATTCAGCAGTGGCATACAGATGTTAAAGAAATGGCACGTCGATTAGGAGAGACTCATGAGAACTGACAGGCAGAGACACAGTGCTCTTGCTTGTTACAGAAAGATATGTAATAATAAGAAATAAGCTGTACAATCAATACTTGCTATCTTTCCAAAGAACACTGTGAATTCAGAAAAAGAGGTTTAATGGACTCACAGATCCACATAGCTGGGGAGGCCTCACAATCATGGTGGAAGACAAAAAGCACATCTTTCATGGTGGCAGACAAGAGAGAAAATGAGAGCCAAGTGAAAGGGGAAACCCTTATAAAACCATCAGATCTCAAGAGACTTATTCACTACCACGAGAACAGTATGGGGGAAACCACCCCCATGATTCAATTATCTCCCACTGGGTCCCTCCCACAACACGTGGAAATTATGGGAGCTACAATTCAAGATGAGGTTTCGGTGGGGACACAGAGAAACCATATCAAACTCTAGACCATCAATAAGTGTCAATAACCAGTTTCTTCTACAGGTGGAACATCCCTAATCTGAAAATTTGAAATCTGAAATTCTCTAAAATCTGAAAATTTTTGAGCACCAACATGATGTCACAGGAAGAAAATTCAACATACGACCTCATGTAAAAATATCACAAAATTATTTAAAATATCATTTAAAATTACCTTTAGGCTATGTGTGTATACGTGAAATGTAAATGACTTTTGCATTTTGACATGGGTCCCCTTTCCATGATATCTCATTATGTAATACAAATATTCCAATATTCAAAAAAATCTGAAATCTGAAACACTTCTTTTCCCAAGCATTTCAGGTAAGGGTTACTCAACCTGTACCAGCTATTTTTGAACCTCATCAGAAGAAGGAGAAATTGGTGACTCTGTTGCTGTAGCATCTCCATCATCCGGCGATTAATTTTAGTTCAATGCTTCAAACACTCTTTATGTCCACTGTGCTTTCAGTTATGTACATAAATGATGAACACCCCTATAACCATTCTGTTTTTCACTTCAGTGCCATATTCAATGAATCACATCAGATATTCAACACTTAATTATGAAATAAGCATTTGATTTTGCCCAAATGTAGACCAATATAAGTGGTCTGAGCACATTTAAGGTAGGCTATGTTATGCTATGACATTTAGTAGGTTGGGTAGATGAAATCCATCTTAGGCTTAGGGTATTTTAACTTATGATGGGTTTATTGAATATAATCTCATCATAAGTCAAAGAGCATCTGTAGTAGAGTATGACTGAGGCTTGCCCAGTTTTTTTCTTGTTTTTAATTCCATGGTACTATATTGACTTCAAGAGCATTGCCCTTAACCATGCTGCAATGCCTCTAAGTGAAAGATAAGGATATCTACTCTGTTTCAGTAAATGTATGATAGTGTGCTGGCTAAGGTTTTTGATGTGTAAAATACAGTAAAAATTACTTACAATGTTTGGTGATAAGAAAATAAATATCTTTGAGTCACATACAGTAGGATGTTAACTCCAGATACTCTATGTCCTAGTTACATGATCTTGGGAAAATTAATTTCTCTGATTCTTAATTTTTCTAACTATAAAATGTGAAATGTTCGTCTTGGGGATGTGTTATGCAGGTTAGAGGAAGTAATGTTCACAGTGCTTCTGGTATACAGTAGAGACTTAGTAAATGGAAACTATTATTATTGGCACCATTACTCTCAGTACTAAGATAATCACTAATTTAAACATAATATTTGTGCTATGAGTATCCTAAAAGTTGCAATATTCATACTGAAATTTTAATATGAAGAAATTGAGGCTTAGAGAAAGGAAGCAGCTTTTGAAATAAGTTATTGCCAAATTAGTGCTGTTAAAGTGATTAACAGTATTTAAAAATCAGATTCCACAGACACATTGTTATGTTTCAGATCTTGACTTATACTTGCTTAGTTGCTTGGGAAACTTACTTACCTTTTTATATTTCAGTACTCTCATCTGTTAAATAGGAGCAATAACAAACATATCCACCATTACCGCTTGATGTGAGAGATCATATGAGTAAAATGCATGCAAATTTGTTATGCACTTTATGAAGCAAAAAGAATCTAATAAATATTAGCTGCAAGTGTTGTCAGAGGTTTTCATTTTTTCTTTCCATATACCATACTGTGTTCCTAGTAGCTGAAGGAAGCATAGTTTTCAAAAGGAATGCATCCTTTTATAAAGCACTGATTATAAAATAAAACACTAAGGAAAAAATGTAAAGGCATTAAAAAGCATGCATATGAGATGTGCATATATATATATAGCATGTATATTTTTGTATAAATTATATATGTATTAAATATATTACATAATACTCTATGCAGGAATAAAAGTATTATTATTATTTAAATGAAAATCTGTAAAATGATAAGGCTAGGAGACTTACCTCAAAAGCTCATTGGGATTTCCAAACAATGTGAGATCATTAAAGTGCTTGCGTAGAGTAAAGTGCAAGACAAATGCTTCTAATAATACCCTGGAATGTTCTCATAAGGAACAAGTCAGTATTTATATATGCATGAGGAAAAGCAATAGTTTATTAGCCATGTAATTATTAAAGGAATCCTAAAGGCAAAAATTAGAATTGTGTTGTTATTAAGAAAAAGCCTAAGGTTATATGGAAATAACCATTGCTTTGCATATTATTATTTTTTTGAATCAGTTGATCAAAAAAAAATCATGTTTTGCCCATAAAAAGAATCTGTCTCCTGAATTTATGAATACATATTTGTTTTTTTCCAAATGTTATTCTGTCCTGGTACCTTCACACAGTCAATAGAATAAACACAGAAAATTATATATACATTCTTCTTTCATTTTTTTGTCTCCTACCCTTTGAAAGTAAAGCTGCGGAATACTAATGAGTTAATAATTGGCTTTCTTACATTCACCTTACTGAAATGCAAACACTGTTTTTTCAGTCCAGTTTTTGTAGGCAATTCAGTACCAACTCACAGTTTAGTCAACTGAAGAATGTCTTAGGAGTCCTTCTGCTTTGTTATTCTATTAGACCCAAAAGTGTTAACCTTTAACATTGAAAATTTAGGGCAGAACAATGGCAATTTATTACATGATTCAAGCTCTATGTTAAGGATTACTTACTAGGTATTAGGACAAGCATTCTTTACATTTTAGAATACTTTGTTCCATTTTTATAAAACATGAAAATGATTTAATGTTAATTTCTCAAAAAAAAACTCATCTCAAAAACTCTAAAATTGAGATTCCAAATTTAATCATATTTTTTAGTCCTTAGTATTCACATTATATTAGGTAGAGTACTTTTGAATTATCCACCTAAATACTGACTATATAGAAACGATTTTTAAGCAAGTATACATATTTCCAATATGCTTTATTTGGATTGAGAAAAAAAATCAGTGTGTTGGAGTTTCACTATACTCCAAAGTTCCAAGTGGCTCAGATGTGATATTTTCCACGCAAAAATTTCAAGTTTAATAAACTATGATATATCAGATATATAAAAGAGCTGATCTGATTCATGAACTGTGCATTTGATACAGTAGATACTGTGATGGACAATGCAAGGTGAAAAATATCTAACAATATGAGTTACACTTTAATACCGAATTCCAGAAAAATTATACCAAATGGGAGTCAAAATTTTCTTTTTAAGTAATTGTTATAACTAAACAATGATCATGTTAAATAATATCGCTACTCTATAGGAAGAGAGATCTACCATATCACTGATCATTTTATTTGTTGTATCTTAGTTAGATCAACTTTCACAAGCTAATTTTATACAGCTTTAAGAATAATTTAAACACACAAAACGTCTTTGGTCTTTTTTTCATTATTATACTTTAAGTTCTGGGGTACACGTGCAGAACGTGCAGTTTTGTTGCACAGGTATACACGTGCTATGGTGGTTTGCTGCTCCCATCGACCCGTCATCTACATTAGGTATTTCTCCTAACGGTATCCCTTCCCTAGCCCCCGACCCCCCGACAGGCCCCAGTGTGTGATGTTCCCCTCCCTGTTTCCATGTGTTCTCATTGTTCAACTCCCACTTATGAGTGAGAACATGCGGTGTTTGGTTTTATTTTCTTGTGTTAATTTGCTGAGAATTCATTACATGTAAAACTGTTGAAAGTTATTTGAATTGTATTTGGATGTCCAAAGCAGATAGAACTTGAAGGGGGACATGTTTTGGCATATGATCAAATCTGTACAGATAATATGTAAATATTTCCATATTACACACAGACAAATAGGGTTTTTAACTTAGGAGCATGGGAAATATTGCCTTCCTTTCTTTCATTTTGCCCTAAGTATGTTATTAGCTACATACAGAGACCTGTGTATACATAGAAATTCATGAGAAAAACTGAAAATAACTTTGTAATATATGTGTAGTTCCTTTGATAAGAGGCATATGACCTTGGATGATGGAAAAAAGATTTTTCTTAAGGCAACCCATTTTAGTGGCTATGAATTCTCAATTTGAAGTTACCAGATTAATATTTATAACTCCTTGATTTGGGTACAGTCACTATAAGCAGAAGTGGAGATTTAGGAAAAAAACAAAAAAACAAAGTGATTCTTTTTATTGCAAAGGAATCTTCATTTCTGTGATCTCAGAACCGACCAGCTGGCATTTTTTAAATTTCCAAGTGAACTCCCCTATTTGAAAAAGTCTGCAGTATGTTAATAATTGACATTATAAATCTGTCTATTATAAATGATTTTCCCAGCATAGTTTATTTATTGTTGGTGACATTCTAGATATATTCTCAATCCAAAAATCATGTACAGAGAGAGTACAGAGAGAAAATGGCAACTCTACCTTTTCAAACATCCAAGATCTTTCTCCTCTGTACCTATTAAGATGTGTGTTAGGAGAACCCTGTGTTCAAATTTATATATGTATATATGTATATGTATATCTGTATCTCTACATATAATTAGCTGAACAAAAGTGATAGAACCAGAACTTGGTCCTTACTCTTAGGGTCAGTGTAAAAATGCTAAATTCAGCAATTATTAATTCTTCATTAACATGTGCCAAGTAGTTTGCTAACCACTAATACCAAAAGTAATTTTCAACCCTTCAAGAGGTTACGCTTTATTTGTGAAGATGACAATAAAGCCAAAATATAAAATAGGCAGTAAAATAAGTATCTGCAAGGCACAGAATTGATATAGAGAAGGAATCTATTAACCATCTAGTGGAGGGAAGGAGGAATAATGGAAAGCTTGGAGAAGTGATCAGTACCTGAACAATACCTGAACAGGGTTGTGAGGAATTTGTAGCAATTTTCCAAGACAAAAAGACCAAGTTGGCAGGGAAGATGTTCTTGGCAAATAGTTGTAAAATAGCAGGGTGTTTAGGGCATCTAAGTAGTTCTTCATGCCTATATAGTCATTTATTTCACTTGCTGGAGCATGTGTTTAGAAGTAAATTGCCAAGTCACATCCAAGAAATATGGAATTAGAATCTTTGAATTTGAGGTCCAAATATGTACATTTTTACAAGCTTGCTGAGTGAATTTATGTGTATTTTAAGATTAGAAGACAACTATGAATATGTGAGCTGTCCAAGAGAAACGTGATGTTAGCTAAGAACTAACAGTTCTTCACTAGGAGCCTGAAGTGAGATTTTAGGATTGGACCACCACGGTCAGTTCACATTTAAGAGGAAAATTCCGGACACTGTGCATTGGCCTCAGGCATCAGGGGAACAAGTTGTTGGGATCCTGTTTTCATTCAGGGGTTAAATGATGAGAATTTGGACTGCCTTTATTACAGTAAAAGTGGAGAAAAAGGACCAGACATTCCAGGTCTTTAAGTGTTGAAAGAACAATCTAAACACCTCTTGTTGCCTCACATTCTACATAGTTCTTCATTTGTCTCTAATTATAAATAAAAGAAGGGGTTAACTTTCAATGTCAAGTATTACACAAACCATGATTTTGCCAGCCTGATGATTTAAAGGGTGCATACTGTATATTGCTAGGTAAATTCTTGTATGTCTCGGGAGAAAATTTCCAAAGATCTCTTGGTTTAGTTTCACCTCAGTACAGCTATGTGAGTCAAGCCCATTCTAAGCAGTAGCTTTCAAGTTTTTTTTTTAAATATTCTATCTATTCTGTTTTTGTTCCTATTTCTGGCTGCAATATCCCACTTATGTTCACTTGGTCATTATTGCTCAGCACAGCAACTACCATAGCCTCCCTTATTTCACAAGCAATGACTGTTTCCTACTTCTAAATTGCTGTCGTATTAAACATATTCTCTCTGTGTTGTCTTATGCCTTATATATATATAATATAAAACATGTATATATTATATAATATTTTATATATTATATATAAATATATATAATCACACACACACACACACACACACACACACACACACACACATATATATGTATATTTGGCCTGGGATTTGCCTTCAATCTGCTACACCAGTTGAAGTTCAGAAACCATCAATGTCTTCCAAGGGTTTCAGAGACATCCCCTGCATACCTATTGCCAAATTAATTTTAACTATCAACACCTAAATAAACAAGTAAGATTTTATAGCAAGCTTAGAAAAGGATATTTTACACATACTATGTATTTTACATATATGTATTAGACAAATATTTTACATTTAGAAAAAGCATAAACCCATGAAGGGAAGAAAATCATTAGTAATAAAAAATGCATATTATGTACTTATTGTGAGCTTATAATTTTTACATAGAGACAGTAAAATGCATGATTCGAAGAGATTTACAATCTCATAAAGCTAATTTTCTGTGTATTTTAAAAATGCATAACACATAGGAAACAGTGGAAAGAATACAACACACAGAAAAGGAAACTGCATTCAAGCCCAATTCAACAGCTTAACTATCAATAAAGCATTAAGCCTCATTGTTGTACTTTTATTATTTATAAAATTGAGGAAATAATACCTATCTTTATGGGTTACTCTGATACTAAATATCAAATGGAATTTTACAGTCATCCAACAAGTACATGTTAAACCATAAACTCTGTGTCATGCATGATATTAGGCTGTAGAGACACAGTGTAGAACACAACAAACCAGATTCCAACTTTTATAGAACTTATATATAGTACTTTAGAGGGCAAAAAGAAGCAGAAAAAGATGCGTAAGTAAGTTCATAGTAAAATACCTAAGGGTGAAACAACCAGTGCAAAAGCCCTAAGGCAAGAGAAAGTTTGGCCTATTTAAGGAAGAGAGAAAAGGCTGTTATAACTGAAACACTGCGAAACAAGTGAAAAATATAAATAGAATGGCTGGAAAGATAAGCAGGGTAGTTAATAACTGCTTACACTGATTATAGTCTCTTTATGTGCCAAGCATTATATTAAACATTTTTGTATATGAATATATATTCTAATACCAAAACCTCAAATGTAGGGCCTATGCTTATCCTCATTTTACAAGTGAGGAAATGTTATCTTGCTCTAGGCAACATATCTGCTTGACCAAATGTTTGAATTTAAGCATTCTCATTCCACACTTGTTAGCCAGAAGAAGGGAGTGGTCTGATCAAAGAAGATAAAGACAGAGGAGGAAGAGAGGAAAGGGGAGGAGAAGGAGGAGGAAAAGGAAAAACAGGAGAAAAGAAGGAAAAAAGAACAGCTAACATATTATATTAAGAAGAGCAATCTAGCATGTGTTATTTACACTGATTCATTTATAATTACAGATGGATATGCATGCATGCATGCAAAAATTGGAAAATACAAGTATTTTCTTACCCTTGGGGGAATTATCATAACACATTAAAAACCAAGCCATAGACTAATATGTATAGAATATTACTTATTTAAAAATCAAATAAAACAAATCATATATAATTATATACTTTTATATGTATAATCATGGAGAATTATACACATCAAATTTTCATAGCATTGGATATCTTTAAATAATGAGTTTAAGAACTTCATATTAAAGAACAAATTAAAAATGGAGAAGTAGAAGAGTAGAAGGGAGAATGTAAAATAGTGATCTTTGCTGTCATTTGTCATTGTGTATGTTTACAAAATATACACTGATCAAAAAGTAGAAAGAAGCATAAGGATTCTGGCATCAGACTGGACTATGAAATTCTTTTCAAAGTTGTTGGTTTAACACTGTGGAAATCAATTATCACTTTAGATGGAATAATGTGGTGTTTATTTTACAAGTTGTGAATTAACAAAACACCCTTGTTTTGCAGACTGTTTATGCCAAATTAGAGAGATAATTTAGTCTGTTCTGAATATCATCTTTTTTTTATTTCCCAATATTCTCAAATCTTTTTTATTCCTATACCTTTGGATATCCAACGTGAAAGTGTTCCATTATGATCACCCTTGCTTGTACCTTGTGGAACCTTTTTTTTTTTTATTATTATACTTTAATTTCTGGGATACATGTGCAGAACATGCAAATTTGTTACATAGGTATACATGCGCCATGGTAGTTTGCTGTACCATCAACTCATCTACATTAGGTATTTCTCCTAATGCTATCCCTTCCCTTGCCTCCCACCCCCTGACAGGCCCCATTGTGTGATGTTCCCCTCCCTGTGTCCATGTATTCTCATCGTTCAGCTCCCACTTATGAGTGAGAACATGTGGTGTTTGGTTTTCTGTTCCTGTGTTAGTTTCCTGAGAATGATGGTTTCCAGCTTCATCTATGTCCCTGCAAAGGACATGAACTCATTCTTTTTTATGGCCGCATAGTATTCCATGGTGTATATGTGCCACATTTTCTTTATCCAGTCTATCATTGATGGGCATTTGAGTTGGTTCCAAGTGAGATGGAGTCTCACTTCTGTTGCCCAGGCTGGAGTGCAGTGGCATGATCTCAGCAACCTCTCTTGCCTGGGTTCAAGTGATTCTTCTGCCTCATCTTCCTGAATGGCTGGAATTACAGGCGTGCACCACCATACCCAGCTAATTTTTGTATTTTCAGTAGAGACAGGGTTTCACCACATTGGCCAGGCTGGTCTTGAACTCCTGACCTCAAGTGATCTGCTCACCTCAGCCTCCCAAAGTGCTGGGGTTACACCTGTGAACCACCGGGCCTGACTATGGAACCTTTGGTGAATCATCATATCCTAGACCCCTGTCCTCTCCTAAGTGACAGTAAATCATTTGGGGGTTAATATGTTTTTGTTTTTTTCTATTCTCAACTTTTAGGTTCATGGGATACATGTACAGGTTTATTACATGGGTAAATTGCATGTCACTGTGGTTTGGTGAACAAATAACCTTGTCACCAAGGTAGTGAGTGCAGTACCCAATAGATAGTTATTTGACCTTTGCCCTCCTCCCTCCCCCTTCAAGTAGGCCCTTGTTTTTATTGTTCCCATCTTTGTGTCCTTGTGAACTCAATGTTTAGCTCCCACTTATAAGTGAAAACATGTGGTATTTGATTTTCTGTTTCTGTGGTTATTTGCTTAATATAATGACCTCCAACTGCTTTAATGTTGTTGCAAAGAATGTTGTTTTGTTTTTCTTTAATGGCTGCATAGTATTCCATGCTGTATATGTATCATCTTTTCTTTATCCAGTGCACTGGTGTTGGGCATCTGGGCTGATTCCATTTCTTTGCTGTAGTGAATACTGCTGCAATGAACATATGTGCGCATGTGTCTTTTTGGTAGAAAGATTTATGTTGCTTTGTGTGTATACCCAGTAATGGGATTTCTGGGTCAAATGTTAGTTCTAAGTTCTTTGAGAAATCACCAAACTGCTTTCCGTAGTTTTTCTTTTGTGTGAATTTTCACATCTCAATGTCATTCTGGTCAGCTCTAATTTGGTTATTTCTTTACTTCTGCTAGCTTTCAGGTTGGTTTGATCTTTTTTTCCTACTTCCTCTTGGTGTAATGCTAGATAGTTAATTTGAGATCTTTCTAACTTATTGATTGATGCATGTAGTCCTATGAACCTTCCTCTTAACAATGCTTTAGCTGTGTCCCAGAGATTCTGGCATATTGTATCTTTGTTTTCCTTAGTTTCAAATAATTTTTTTTATTTCTGCCTAAATTTTATTGTTTATTCAAAGGTCATTCAGGAGCAAGTTGTTTAATTTCCATATAGTTTTATGGTTTTAAGAGATGTTCTTGGTATTGATTTCTATTTTTGTTGCACTATTGTCTGAGAGGGCAGTTGGTATAATTTTGCTTTTTTTGAATTTGTTGAGAATTGCTTTATAGCTGAGCATGTGGTTGATCTTAGAGTACATTCTGTGTTCAGATGAGAAGGATGCATTTTCCATTGTTATTGTGTGGAGTGTTCTGTAGATGTCTGTTAGGTGCATTTGGTCAAGTGTTGACTCTAGAACCCAAATATCTTTGCTAGTTTTCTACCTCAGTGATCTGTCTAATACTGTCATTGGGGTATTGAAGTCTCCTATTATCATTGTATGTTTATCTAAGTCTCTTCAGAGGTTTCTAAGTACTTGTTTTATTAATCTAGATGCTCCATTGTTGGCTGCTTACATACTTAGAATAGTGATATGGTTTGGATTCTTGTCCCCACCCAAATTTCATGTTGAATTGTAATCCCCAATATTGGAGGAGGGGCCTGGTGGAAGGTGATTGGATCATGGGAGCGGATTTCTCCCTTGCTGTTCTAGTGATAGTGAGTAAGTTCTCATGAGATCTGGTTGTTTAAAAGTGTGTAGTACTTACCCCTTCACTCTCTCTCCTCCTCTGGCCATGTGAGGAAGTGCCTACTTCCCCTTCCATCATGATTGAAAGTTTCCTGGGCCCTCCCAGCCGTGCTTCCTGTATAGCCTGTGGAACCATGAGCCAATTAAACCTCTTTTCTTTATAAATTACCCAGTTTCAGGTATTTCTTTATAGCAGTGCAAGAACAGACTATTACAGATAGTTAAGTCTTCTTGCTGAATTGAATCTTTTATCATTATGTAATGTACTTCTTCATCTTTTTTTTAATAATTGTAGGTTTAAAGACTGTTCTGTCTGTAATAAGAATAGGACCCTTTGCCTCTTCTGTTTTTCATTTCCTTGATAGATATTTCTTCATTCCTTTACTTAGAGCCTATGGGTTTCATTGCATGTTAGATGGTTCTGTTGAAGATAGCATACCATTAGGTCTTGCTTCTTTATCCAACTTGCCATTCTGTGTTTAGCCCATTTACATCCAAGGTCAATATTGATATGTGAGGGTTTTATGTCATCACAGTGTTGTTAGCTGTTTATTAATGTAGAGTGAATTGTATAGTTCCTTTGTAGTGTCAGTGCAGTATGTACTTATGTGCATTCTTGTATTAGCAGGTATTCTTTTCTTTACATGTTTGCCACTCCCTGATGGACCTTTTGTAAGGCAGGTCTGGTGGTTACAATTTCCCTTAACATTTGTTTATTTGAAAAAGATTTTATTCATCCTTCACTTATGAAGCTTAGTTTGGCTGGATATGAAATTTTTAGATGGAATTTCTTTTCTTTAAGTATGCTGTATATAGGACCTCAGTTTGTTCTGGCCTGTAAAGTTTCTGCTGAAATGTCCACTGTTAGCCTAATTGGGTTCCCTTTTTATGTTGCCTTCCCCTCTGTATAGCTTCCTTTAATATTTTTTTTCTTTCATGTTAACCTAGAAGAATCTGATGACTATATATCTTGGCGATAGTCATCTTATATATTCTCTGTCTGGGGTTCTCTGAGTTTCCTAAATTGTCATGTCACCCCCTCTAGCAAGTTGGAGAAATTTTCATAGACAATATTCTCAAATATATTTTCCAAATTTTTTGCTCTCCCTCCAACTCTTTCAGGAATGCCAATGAGTCATAGACTTGGTCTCTTTACATAATCTCATATTTATCAAAAGTTTTGTTCATTTTCTTAATTATTTTTTCTTTATTTTTTTCGGCCTGCATTAATTAGAAGGTACAGTCTTCAAGCCCTGGAGGTTCTTTCCTCAGCTTGGTCCATTCTATTATTAATGCTTTATTATTGTTTCCAATCATATTCTGAAATTGCTGTAGTGAACTTTTTATTTCCAGAGGTTCAGTTTGGTTCTGTCTTAAAATAGCTGTACCATCTTTCAAATATTGGATTGTTTTGCTGCTTTCTTTGGATTTGGTTTCAACCTTCTCCTGTATCTTCCTGAGGTTACATGTCATCGAGATTCCAAATTCTATGTCTGTCATTTTAGCCATTTCAATCTGCATGAGAACCATTGCTGGGGAGTTAGTGCAGTCATTTAGAAGTAAAAAGACACTCTGGGTTTTATAGTCACCAGAATTCTTGTGCTGGTTCTTTCTCAGCTGTGGGGGCTAATGTTCTTTTAATCTTTGAAGTTTCTTTCCTTTGGATGGGGATTTGTGCTTTTATATTGTTTGGTGCCCTTGAGGGTTTTTTTTTTTTTCCTGTGGTACAAATTGGGTTTAGTCAATTGGCTTTCTTTCTTTATGCTTTCAGGGGACTAAAGCTAAGCTCAGCACTCCTGGGCTTCCTGCTCTAACCCTGGATGGCTTGGACCAGGATGTGGCTTTGTTCTCTGGCCCCTTGAGGTCAATTGCTTGATGTGCTGGAAAGGCCAAGATATTCCAAGTCCACTGGCAGTAACACTCCCACAAGTGCTGCCAACAAAAGCACTATGGTCCAGTGCCAGGGGACTGCAGGAGAGTGCACTGCAGTGAGGCGTGGGTTAATAAGTGTTCCTTGGTAATGTGATAATGTGTTTAGGCATACATTACCCTCTCTATGTACAATAATACAGAACGGGTAAAGTTATGGATACAACAAGGGTGGTCGTAAGCTGATAATCTTGAGTTTGGGCAATGGATAAGTGACTGCATTTCATAGTATTTACTATTTTTAAATATATGTTTGAAATTTTTCCATTAAAACTTTTAAAATAAGGGAAGTATTGAGAGGCTGAGATAAGCTCTCTCAAGTTTTAAATTTCTATCATCGCAGTGTTCAGAGTTGAGCTTAGTATAAATGTTGGAGAAAAGGTGAAAACTATTTGGGCATCCTATCACAATTGGTATTCAGATAAAATGCATGAAAAGAAAACCTTCAGAGATGGTAGCTTTATCAAATAAAGGTTTGTTTTGTATAGTTGAATGAACTCTGGAGTGGGCAGCTCTGGGTGATGCAGTGGCTTGATGCTATCACAAATGTCCTAGTATCAGCTTCTCTCTTTCAACTGTGCCATCTTCAATGTGTGACTTGTTTCATGGTTGCAAAATAGTTCCTGTATCTCAAAACCCCAGACCTTAATTTCAGACATTATGAGGAAGGTGGAAGCAGCAAGAAGGAAAGAGTGGTGGTGTCTACATAAAGAAAACAAAACTCTCTCCAAAGGACTTCCTCTCCAGGAAACTGGAAGTTTCCACTTGGAAACTTAGTTTCATGGAAATGTAAATCTAGGAAATGAAATTTTAAATTGAAAAAATTGCCAGCCCCTGACCAAACTGAAGTAATACTAGTGAAGAAGAAAAGAAGAATGCATATTGAGTCGCAGGTAACATAACTATAGTCACCGTTTTGGGTAAAAAACATCCCAAGGCAAACATCTTTCCAAGGATATGTAAAGCACAATCCTCCCATCATATTTCCCCTGTGAGAAACAATAACCTGAAATTTAATCTAGTTTTCATGTTTTACTTGAAGTCCAGAATTTTACCCTTATCTGAAACAGAGTCCTATTCTTAAGATTTCTGAAATGATTTTAAAGTAATAGAGGAATGCTTGTAGATTTTTTATTAAGAAGAGAGCACATTCAGTGGAGTGTGTGAAAGCAAAATCTGACTTGAAAAGGACCAAATAGGAGACTATTGTGAAATCCATTTGAGAGACAAGTAATGTGACATTGAACTCAAAGAGTAGAAAACTAAAGTTTTGGACACAGACCTGAAATAGATCCAGTAAATATTGCATGGATGGGGGAAGATAAGTTAGAGGTGGTTAATAAGAGAGAATCCAAAGGTGATTACAAAGTTTAAATATGAGATGAATAAAAAAGAAAAGCTCCCCATTTGTCCTTTCTCTAACTTTTATTATCTCTATGGAAGGACCAGAGATTATCAAGGGCATTCTTCTCAAGGAAATTATATCCTCTCTTATTTCTGAATGCTACTCTTAAACTTAGAATGTAAATGGTAGTAGCAAATATTGTTTATTCAGTACTTATTATGGATCGAGTTCTATGTAAAACGTGTCAGTATTATCTCATGTAGTTATCACAACAATCTCTTAATAAAGGAGATATATTTTCTTTTATAGATGCAGAAGCTATTTAGAAAAAAATTACACAACAGGGATTTAAACTCAAATTTGCATTGCTACATGAGACATATCTCCTTACTTTATCATACTGCTTCATATACATTATATATAGCCACATATATTTGCACTTTTGCAGATGAGTTATTAACATAAAATCATCTCTAAATTTTAATATGAATGTAGAAATTACATTAGAACATAGGTTGCTTTCTGGGGATCATAGACCATTATTAGCACTTCCCCCCACACCACCTGATTCTCACACTCTGTGCAAGGACAGTAGTTTCAATCCATGACATTTGAATTTTGAAAAGTTTCAGACCCTCAAATACAAAATATTATCTGTATCAACAGAGAAAGAAAAGAGCTGGGGAGAGGAGAGAATGGCTGCTTTAGTTGAAAGCTATCAGAGCATGAACTCCATGCTAAAGTCAAAGGTTGTGGGTTAGACAACTGTAGGGCTGCATAAAGTAGGGCCTCCAGAATTGAGCAATGGATTCAACCCCACCAAGACATCCTCTTTTACTTCTTGTCCTTCCTTGCCTCTGACTTTCCTTGGCTGTGGCCTTCATTTTCAAAGTCAAAAAGAGGAATCTGGATTTAGCAAAGAGAGACCCTATTCAAAAGAATTATTGTGAGGTGAAGAAAGGGACTATTAAAATAGAGAAAAAAACTATGACCATAATATCTGCCAGCCTCACAAGGGTTAGGCAAAAAGGGTATGTCTTTTCTAGGGAGAAGTAGGTAAGGTTATATGTGGCATGAAAGGGTGGCATGATTGGCTGCATCATAGAGCAGAGAAAGTTTTACTCTGCGGCCTACCTAATCTCCGGAGAATTGCTACACTGATTCAGGCTGAAGATGGGTCAAAGTTTAGAGATGTGGCAGAAAGAGAGAAACTTAACCGAAATTGGTTAAAATCTATTTTGTTCCAGTTAATCAGTGGAGAAAAAACAGTTTAGCCAATCATTTATGAGGCAACAATGTGAATTTGGAGGATCTGTGTCTGATCTTTTCATAGATAAAAAAGGGATCCATCTGTGGGTCTTATCTAAGTTGTATGGGAAAGGGTGATTCTTTGCAGTAAGCCATTCTCTGGAATACAAAAGGGTGGGGGAGTTTCTTTTTATTATTATTATTTTATTATTATACTTTTAGGGTACATGTGCACAATGTGCAGGTTAGTTACATATGTATACATGTGCCATGCTGGTGTGCTGCACCCATTAACTCGTCATTTAGCATTAGGTATATCTCCTAATGCTATCCCTCCCCCCTCCCCCTACCCCACAACAATCCCCAGAGTGTGATGTTCCCCTTCCTGTGTCCATGTGTTCTCATTGTTCAATTCCCACCTATGAGTGAGAACATGCAGTGTTTGGTTTTTTGTCCTTGCGATAGTTTACTGAGAATGATGATTTCCGATTTCATCCATGTCCCTACAAAGGACATGAACTCATCATTTTTTATGGCTGTATAGTATTCCATGGTGTATATGTGCCACATTTTCTTAATCCAGTCTATCATTGTTGGATATTTGGATTGGTTCCAAATCTTTGCTATTGTGAATAGTGCCGCAATAAAAATACGTGTGCATGTGTCTTTGTAGCAGCATGATTTCTAGTCCTTTGCTATATACCCAGTAATGGGATGGCTGGGTCAAATGGTATTTCTAGTTCTAGATCCCTGAGGAATCGCCACACTGACTTCCACAATGGCTGAACTAGTTTACAGTCGGGTGGGGGAGTTTCTTAACCTTCATTTTTTTTTTCAGGGTCACTGGATTTGGGTGAAGTTTAAGATTGTCATCTCCCACTCTAGATGTTTTCTCTTTAGAGTGGTTCTCTCCAAACATACACTTTAAAGTTCACAATCAAAGAGCAAAATAGATGTATCCATCTCTTCTAATTTAGAAAATTCTATGCAGGGGTGACAGGATACAATATGCCAATATCTGTGTTCAGTGAAAATAAGGTACTCTGATGTAAAATGCTGGTTTCACTTGGTTGGGTAGGTGTAGGAGGCACCATAATCTATCCATTCTATGAGTTTTGTTTGCCCCCACCCCCAGAGAAATGAAAATACATTAGTCCCCTCTTATCCACAGACAATATATCCCAAGACCCCCAGTGGATGCCTAAGACCATGGATAATACTGAACCCTATTTATACTACATTTTTCCTATACTTATATAACTGTGTGATATGGTTGACTGTGTTCCCACCTAAATCTCATCTTGAATTCCCATGTATTGAGGGAGGGACCCAGTGGGAGGTAATTGAATCATGAGGGCAAGTCTTTCTGGTGCTGTTCTAGTGACAGTGAATAAGTCTCACAAAATTTGATGGTTTTATAAAGAGGAGTTCTCTGCACAAATTCTCTCTCTTTGCCTGCTGCCATCTATGTAAGACATGTCTTGCTCCTCCTTGCCTTCCACCATTATTGTGAGGCCTCTCCAGCCATGTGGAACTGTAAGTCCATTAAACTTCTGTCTTTTGTGAATCGCCCAGTCTCAGGTATGTCTTTATCAGCAGCATGAAAACAGACTAGTACACTGGGATAAAGTTTAATTTATAAATTAAAGGCAGTAAGAGATTAACAACCCTAATAATAAGATTGAACAGTTATAACAATACACTGTAATAAAAGTTATGTGAATGTAGTCTGTCTCTTAAAATACCTTATAGTACTGTACTCATCCTTATTCTTGTGATAAAAAAGGAATGGAGAGGTGTAACAGATTTTATCATGCTACTCAGAATGGCACACAATTTGAAACTTATGACTTGTTTATTTCTAGAATTATCCATTTAATAATTTTGGAACACAGTTGAGTGTAGGCAACTGAAACCATGGAAAGCAAGCACTTGAATAAAGGAGAACTACTGTACAGTTACAAGAAGTAGCAACATAATAAATTACGGACAGCCAAAGACAGTAACTACTATAATCCACCACATTTTATTCATTTATGATCATTCTGAAATTTTACTTTGAATCCTTCACAGCTGTAGAACAATTTACAGAGACCTGAAGACTCACAGTATTTGCCTCAGACAGCTGAGCGTCTTTGACTCTTGAATGTCTCAGCACATCTCTCTACTGGGAGTGGTACAGGTCTTTGTATCTCTCACTTTAGTGCAAAGAGATGAATGTCTGTTCAGGTTGACACGTCTTGCCTCTTTTATTCAGGGAGCCATGTATGATACTGACATTTTAAGCTACTACTTGGAATGTGTTTCACCTTGAATTCTTACGCTACACTTAAGGTTTACAATTTTGCTGTTATTGCAGCTGTCCTTTTAAAGGGAAATAGATTGAGTGGTTATTAAAGAGTTGTAACACTAAATATGAATAACAAATGACATATTACTTTAAATGTGATAATCAGAGGATGTGTAATATAAGTTTGGATCACCGTGGGTGCTTTTGTAACTAACCTTTCCAAACAGGTACAATTAGATTCTCAACTGATTGCAAGGCATTTCTCAATAAGATTTTAACTCTTCATTATGCAGATGAATCAGTAATGAGCAAATAGGGAAACTTTTACCATATATTCCTAAAAGGGATAGCAAAGACCAGAATTTTGACTTTTCAGAAAATATCGTAAAACCTAGTCAGTTTCACTTTGATTTTTACAGATGAGCTTAAAGTAGTAAAAAGCAATTACTACCTGAACATAGATTGATGAATCTTCTCTGTATTGCTCTTAAAAATGAAAAATAAAAAATGATATAAGGGGTTCCAACTACAAGAAATTGTCCCCACTGCTTTCTTTATTTCTTCCCTAGCAATATCAAAGGAATAAGTTAAATTTCTCTTCTTAACCTCTTAAGAACTTATTACTTTCTAATCATCTACTCTATAAACCTAACCTGGGAAGTTACAAGGTAATGTAGTTTTGGTTTCTTAAAACTATGTGGACTGTTGAAGAAAGAACTTAGATACTTGAAAAAGCTATCTTTACATTCAGAATTTTCCAGTTGTTAACTGTGTGAATTTGATCATATTTCTTGGAGTTTCATTTCTTTTTTTTTTTTAACTTTTCTTTCTTTTTTTTTTTGAGACATCATAGGGATAATACTTTGTTAGTGGATTTTGTTAAGAAATTTAAAATATGAGAAGAGACTTGCATGTAACACACAATAACATTTAAAATTCAATCTTCAGCTTTGAACTTGTCCTACAAGATACCCTTTTCTGATAACTTTGAATTGATCCCTTAACTGCTACTGCATTTCTACTACATCTCTCTTAATTTGCTATACTTACCTTCAGAGAAGACTGAATGCTGATAGCTGCCTTTCCCTTATACGTTAGTGCATTTCCTAAAGTTCACATTTGCTGCAGACCATACTGCTGTCACTAAGGAAATATCCCTGGCCAGGGTGGGCTAAAAATTAAACCACCACCCAATGCCATTAAAGCTAATGCATCTGGAGTAACATGTAATTGTTGGGTTTTGGAGCATTACTTCAGTATCTGACTTAAGGAAAGGTGATATTTTTGGAATACACCTATGTAAAATGGTCTCTCCTAATTTTATATCTTCACAAAATCATTTATTTCAGGTAAAAAATAGTAAATTGACAAAAAGCCCTACATATGAAATATTCAGTTAATATGATCAGTATTTTGACTTTTACTAGTCATTGATATTTTTGATGAAGATTTGTAAAATACTCTACTTCAGACATTCTGATTCAGCGGATCGGGTGGGATGGCATATGTGTGTTTTTAAAGTTATACAGCTGATTCTGTTACGTGGCAAAGTTTAAAAACCTGTGATTTACATTTTCAACATAAACTTGAGGACATATCATATGATAACTTTTTTAAAAATTTTTTTATTAAAAAATTATTTATTTTTGAGACATTATTTATTTATTTATTAGTTATTTATTATTTATTTATTTATTTTTGAGACATAGTCTTGCTCTGTCACCCAGGCTGGAGTGCAGTGGCGTGATCTCAGCTCACTGCAAGCTCTGCCTCCCGGGTTCATGCCATTCTCCTGCCTCAGCCTCCCGAGTAGTTGGGACTACAGGCACCCGCCACCACGCCCATCTAATTTTTTGTGTTTTTAATAGAGACAGAGTTTCACCGTGTTAGCCAGGATGGTCTCGATCTCCTGACCTCGTGATTCGCCCGCCTCAGCCTCCCAAAGTGCTGGGATTATAGGCATGAGCCACCATGCTCAGCCATATGCTAACTTTTAAAGTTCCTGTATGAGGAATTAGAAAGTCAAGATGCATTGACAGCCATGCTTGTTCCTCTGGCTGTTAGCCACTCAACATTTCTCTTCAATTAATTATAAAGTGTTCATGTCAGAGAAGCAGAAATATAATCCTAATGCTTTCTCATTTTGAGTTTTCATTTTAGGATCAGATTTATAATTTAATTCTGATCACATGCCAGTTATTGAACTAAACATTTTACCTAGGTGCACTTGTGGATATTATTTTCCTCATTTGAAATTGAAGACAGGACAGTTGAAATCAAGCAAGCAAGCAAGCAAGCAAGCAAATCTTAACCTGGCAAAGACAGAATTAAATGGCTATGGCAAATTTATTAGAGGACCAACACATAAGGATAAAGAATAGTAAGATCTATTAAGGTATAATATATATTTAGTCATAAGGGTATTTAGTAATTATGTTCTGAGGTTAAAAATAAGTATAAGGATATTTATAAATCTCCAGAATGTAGTCTCCAGAATATGTATATGTACATCTCTCTCTTCTCTCTAATGTATGCCTGTATGTGTGTATGATGTATGTATTTCAGAGACTCTACACTCCAGAGAATTATCAATATATGTTTTTCCTGAACAAAACTATCTTAGAGAAGGCTTTTGTTTAACAACTCCTCTTGTAGCTCTCATCATAGTGTTGAGCTATGTAAGAAATGAGGAGCATATCCAACAACTATAATTATTTTCAGCATTACTCTTTTTTATAGAGTAAAAGACAAACATTTGTGATTTTTCTGTGATCATCTGAGATATCACGAAGATAGTATTAGGTATAAAAGGCACACTAAATTGTATTTTTCTAAATTTAGGAATTAATTTTGAGAAGAAAATGTCAAGAGTTATCAGAGGGATCTATTCACTTGATTAGAATATTAATATCAGTATTTGAGAACAATAAAAGGTCATGGCTTGAATACAAGTTAATCAAGGGAAAATACAATATTTTAAATAAACAGAAAGTATTAACCCAATTTAATGGTATCTTAGCTCCTTCAGAATTGATTGATCCAGGGCATAATAAATTCAGCACAACACACAGGAAACAACTCTGGTGAGCCATTCATGTCAGAAGGTTACATGGAAGGAAAATAATTATTATATATTGTTAAAATCAGACTAAGTAATTCAAGATTAATTTATTATTTCAATAGAAATAGTCTAATTTTGCGCTGTTAATATTTGGCAGTAAAAGATTCACAAGCTTCTTTATGCTTTCAGTATTAACTGACCAACCATGAAAACTAACCTACTCTTGGGAAAATTTTAACATATTCTACTACATTTTTTGAGATTCCTTATTTTTTGATATTATAATCTAAGATAATTAAATTCTCGTTTCCAAAAACTATGACTTCCTGTATTTGCTTAGGTTTTATCATTTACTATTCTATTTCACATCTGAAAATAACTGATACTTCACTTTAGGATAAAACTGCTCTCATTTTCCCTTAATAAACAAAAGTGCATTATCTTTCTTTTCATACACAATTCTTCTTATCTGCCAGTACTGATTCTAGTATATTTTAAATTACCCATATTAACATAATTTTTAGTATTTAACTTCTACATCATGGAGTGAAATGGGGTTTAGATTTGTCTAACACTACAGCTATGCTAATGAATACATATAGTATGATATCTGACGGCCATACACATTTTTTTTTTTACCATACCTTAAAAAGGCAAACATTAAGACATTTTCAAACACGGCCCTAAGTTATTGCTACTCTATAACATGTAAAAATAAGAATCAAAGGAATGTATGTCAAAATTACGCTGGTAACCAATATTTTAATATTCTACTTTAGTTAAAAATAATCCAAGTATCCAATTAATTTGGGTTTAATATAAGTTCAAAACTATATTCCATTACTATAAAAATGTTTCTTAAAATTATAATCTAATTTGATTGAAAACATAGTTTTAAATTTATTTTACTTATATGTGAAAGTAATGTTAGCTCAATAGTAAAACAGTATGAAAAGTTTAGGAATTTCATATTAACTCGTCTTTTAGTGAGAAAAATACACATTATATTTTAAAATAAAATTTATAATTATCTTTTGCTGTTCTCTTCTAAAATCAAGGAAAAAGGATACAGTTTCTTTAAAACCCAGGTTATCAAACTAGTCTAATTTGTCAAAAGCTTCACTTTGATCACGTGACCTTGATTTATTTTAGAAAAAATGCTTATCAGCATTTTGCATAAGAAAACAGTTTTGTGTATATATGCATTTTTATTGTTTGTTTAAAATGAAAGGCTAGGACATTACAATATTAGTTTAGTTCCTTTACTATCTGGGTTTAGCCTACAAAACCATATTATTTACTTATATTTATAGCAACTTCTAACAACTTTTGACTATGACTTTAAGAGGAGAAGGGGACTTGATTAATGTGTGGATCCTTTTAGAAAACTGTATAGTTAATAACCTTTAGAAGTAATTGATAGATATTGATGTACGGATAGATCTATAGAGATATTTTATATCAGTTATATAAATCTAGATAGAAAATTTCCTTTGTAGTTATTTTGACTGAAAGACACCACTCATGAGTACTTAAATAAACCTCATAAAGCTAATAAGGGAAAAGTTGTAATTTTAGTGATTTATTTTTATTTGTATAAATTTATGTGACAACAGTGTAATTTTGCTACATGAACACATTGGGTAGTGGTGAAGTCAGGGCTTTTAGTGTATCCGTCACCAGAATAACACACACTTGTATACATTAATTAATTTCCCATGGTGAACCCCAATCCCATTCTTCACCCTTCTGAGTCTCCATTTTCAATCATTCCACACTTTACGTCCATGTGTACACATTATTTAGCTCCCATTTTTAAGTGAAAACATGTGATATTTGTCTTTCTGTGTTTTAGTTGTTTCACTTAAGATTATGGCCTGTAGTTCCTTCCATGTTGCTGCAAAGAAATCATTTCCTTCCTTTTTATGGCTGAATAGTATTCCATTATGCATATATCCTTTTAAAATACTCTGACTTTTTAAATACAAACTATTTATTATATGGCTTAGCTTCTTGAAATATAGAACCTCCCAAATATATAATAATGACAAGTATGAATGGCAGTTTGCGTTTTATGAAAGAAGTCTAGATATATGAAACCAGCAGCTAGTACTGCAGCTCTCTGAAGACCTCATTAACTCACCTTCCTCCCAGATCAACATTATTCCATGGCCACGGTCTAATCCTTAATCTCATGGTCTATAATGGCTGCTTAAACTGGAATCATTAAAGTAGAGTCCCAAGAAAGAGAATGGAGAGAAGAAGAAAAGGGCAAGCCCCTGTTCCCCCAAAGATGCTTTCTGGAAGTTTTATATAGCACTATAAATACATTTAAGTAGTTAGAACTCAGTCCTAACATCACAAATAACTGAGCAGAGAATGGAAGGTTTTACAGTCTTTTAGACTTACAAAAAAAATCAAGATTTTTACTGCTAACAAGAAAGGAAAAAAAATCAGTGTACAGGAAGGAGCAGTATTTTAAAAAGAAAGAAAGAAAAGAAAGGAAGGAAGGAAGGGAAAGGAAGAAAGAAAGGAAGAATGAACATATTTGGGAATAACTAGTAGCCTCTACTATGTGAAATTAATAGATCTAAGTTTAATATAACTGTATGTAAATTACTTAATTATACATCATAAGTACAAATGTGATTCAAAAAGGCAAATTATCTGAAATATTTTAAGAATATAAAATAGTAAATATTGATAGATTTCAAATATCCATACTCTAATATGATTCTCTTAAATATGTATATGCTTAGTTCTAAATCTTACCAGGATGAAAATGAGCACCTGTTAAGGAAAGTCTTGGGAGCATAGTGCTTCTGATTACCTCTCTGGGCAATGCTTCCAGTTTCTGTCTTAGCTTAATGGAGTTGTTAATGACTAGCAGGGCCCTGCCCAAGCTACTGACTGAATTGTTCTCTGTGACGCTGGTGGGACTCACTGATTCCCATTTATGGTAACTATATCAATGTGGCTTCACAGTCTTTATTGCTTAGATTCAAATTACTAACACCTGGTTAGTCTGACTGCTCATGGAAGATAAAAGTCAGCAAACTCCATCCTCAACGTTACATCATTGACTAGATTTTTAAATTGATGCCACTGAAAAGTTACTTAAACATCTTTTCATAAAACTGTTAGAGATCAACACCTCTCATGGCTTTGTCTTTGCCCCAACTTCTAATATTATTTCACTACAAAAGAGCTTTAAAGAATTTATTCAAGTTCTTTGTTGCCAGGCTATGCCTCGAGAATTTATTTTGCCAGATTTATGGATAAACCAGAAGTCTTGTTTCAGAACTCAATGTGAATTGCACACACGCATATGGATGCTCCCTGCTGAAGGCTAGACTTTTGAAAAATAAATGGCTAAAAACTCGTGATCTGTATAAAGGTAAAAAGCAACTCCATCTGTCCTGCTTAGACTAGGCTGAAATTCTCCAGCTTGTGTCTTCTCATGAATATATCACAGTTGAAGTCTAGCAACTGGCTAATATCTAGCTTCATGAAAAACAAAAATAGTAGCCTGTTGTTTTTGGCTTTCAGGGAGCAGAGATGAAGGTCCTTCCAGAAGGAGACAAATTTGAAATGTAGCAAGCATTATGCAATTATACTTTGCTCTTATTTTGTATCCTAAATATTAAATATAAGTAACTCCATTCTTTTCTTAGTATCCAACTTTGGCCTTACTTTGATATGCTGCTTACAAAAGGAAAAGAGGCTCAATTGCTTGGCTGAGGAGCTAGATCCCCATATGACGTATTTTGGAACACTTTTCTAGAAACACATTTTTAGTTAAAGGGGTCCTTTGATTTTCTAGGGTAAAATGAAAGTTTCTGGTATATAGAAAGTCGGAGATTTTTTTTTATTGCTCAAAACTTTTGACATAGTGTCAGCACTATTAGCAGGGATTACTTCTGCTTGATTCCCCAAATTGGTATTCTGAACAAAATTTATGAGAGGAAAAGAAGAAAATAAGTGTTCTCATATTGTGGAATTTCACAATCCCTGCCTATTTCAGCCTTATGTAGTTGCTTATATATTGTTAATTATGAGTGTCTTCACACAAAGAGTTCTCACTCTTCCTGTAGCCTTAACTTTTAGATCTAAGATGTTTGACTTGGAAGATTATTATTTATGGGCATTCTTCTTTATGTTCACCAAATATTATTTGAGTGGTCACATTCAGCTGTGCAGTGCTTGATGGGATGTTTTAAAAGGCTCTATACACATGTTCATTATGAATACAGTTAACACTATCAAACAAGGCTTCTTGTAACTGTTGAAGTAAATTGGTGTACTTTTTTCCCTTTGTTTTTAATTTTTTTCCAACTCCTTGCATTGTCGTTCGATTTCTGTTTATGAGACTATTATACTTTTTTATTGATTTTAAATTCATCCCAAGATTAAAAATAACCCTCTCCTCCTTCTCTGATGAGCGGGGATCGATTTTATTTCACACTTCTTATCTCAATTCATTAATGTGGCTTGTATCTGATTTATAGCTACTATTCACTCCTATGCTCTATGTCTTCTTGTCTGCTACTACTTGTGAATTTTCCATTTGAGGTATTCTAGCATTCTTTTGAAGATTCTTACAATTAATGTGAACAGTATTTTCTTTTAAGTATTTGAAGAGGTTGTAGCTGGTGCCTCTACCCAGGCAAGTGAAAACACGCTAACTGGGGAATTCCATTATGAATGTATTAAAGGTTGAACAGCATTATTAGGTGTTTGAGTGAGTCCCTTGAGTGCATGAAGGGGAAAAAAAGCCATGTCCTTGCTTTATGCTCAAAAAAAGGATATTCAGAACTTCACACAGGATGTCAAGCAGCCAAATTGCAAAAATGCCACTTATTATGCTCTGTTCACATTATAGAGGTGTATGTATATTTTTTCTCTTCACAAAGAATCATCACTGTCTTTCTGTTCAATTCAGTGGGCTGGCATCACTCGTTGGGTTCCATTGCAACAGCAAAATTGCTGTTTTGGATTTTACAGACAATTTTTCCTCCTTAAAGTGGCAAAACACATTTCTGAAGATTATGAAGGACATAAAAAATTAGTTTTGGACAGTGGGAAAAATCATCTATAACCTAACATAGCTTGTAAGGAATAGCATAGGTATTAAAAATGTGTCAAACTCAAGTTTGGATACAGGCTCTGCTAATTACTAAGTGCATCACTGAAATCTGAACATCATCACCCTTATTTGTCAAAACATTCAAAATATCTTTTTGATAGGGTGAATGTTAGGATCAAATAGAAAAATATTTTAAAGCAATTGAAAGAAAACAAAAACTAAAATAATGAATATACTCTTCTCTACATTTTTGGAACTAAAAGGGTACCTTTCAAAAGAAAAAGTGGAAGAAATAAAGGAGAAAAAAAATGGAGTGGACAAAGTATAGGATTGATTTCTTTAGGTTTTCTGTTTCTTTTATTTCATTTGTTTTTATCACCTGCGATCCTATCACCTTCTGTTGGTAAAGACATCACAATTTTCTCGCAGACCTATTTTTTCTCCATTACACTATGACCTCACTGAGAATCTCAATTTAATAAAAAAAGAAATTACAAGAGAATGAGAAGTATTAGGAGCTGACATTATCTAATGGAAGATTCCTAAAATGAAAATCTACCATTTCTGCAAATGGAAAGCCTCAACTGAAATTTAAAATTTGGTCCTCTCCCTTCATAAAATAAATAAAATAAATAAAGCAATTTTGCTCAAAATCCCACACCAATATAACTTGTTGTTTGCTCATAACATAATTGCTGAGCATTAAACACATACCATGTTGTAATTCCAAATTCACTTGACTCCAGAAAGACCCTGCAAATATGACCCCTCTAATGTTGCTGTTGTCCATATCCCTATGTTCATGTTGACTGTAACTCAGTCAAGAATAATTTTTAATTATAATTTCCATATTATTTTGTTTCATTTTAGACTTTCTGTCACATATAGAATTTTAGAAGAAGGATGGCAGAAACAGAATCATTTGTGATCATTACATTGTTTCTATACTGTTTGACTACTGTTATCTTTTATTAGTCTGCCTGACTCTCTACTTTGAATCTCTGCCATGTTTGTTTCTGATAGCTGGTAGATATATACCTGCTTATCATTGTTTAGATTCTGGTACCTGCCTAGAAATTAATATTTTACTCCTTGCATAGTCCCCCTGCAGTCAGTATGCAAGCTCTATTCTCTGGATCACTTCCTACATTTCTGATTCTGGGCTACAAATGGCTACTTTGTTCTATTCACTACCTCGCCACTGCTATATGTGCTTGCTTCTAATCTTGATGTGTGAGGGGTGATATATGGGCATAGGCAAATCTGAAGTCAATTGATTGTGAGTTAAAGAAGAATTTTGGAGATCTAAATCTCCTTACAAGTGTTTCAGTTAATCTTTCCCTTTTTTATTTTTCAAATATCCCAACCTCATTCCCATTGCCTGCTAAGGTACCTGGTACCTTCTTTTCCTGAACACCTTCTGAGAAATTGAGGTGCAAGTAGCATTGCTTATTATTGACACAATTGACATCCATTTTCACAAGGACACCAGTGGGGAGCATCTAAATAAATACACTCTCTACTTACCTACTCATAATAAAGTATCATTTTTATTGAAAATTATGCTGATTTTCTGGGCATTCTTTTAATTTAATTGGGATATCAATCTCTATCACTTGAATCTGCTTTTATACTTTTTCCAGAATATAATATCTGTTCATATGATGTTCTTGTCATTGCACTCACCCTTTTCAGTATTATTTTGTTACTGAAGAGTGTATTTCAACTTTGAATGAGACTATTCTCACAATCGATATTTTAATTTCAAAACTGCATAGATTTCCAACCAAAAATTCCAAACATTTTTAAATAACTTTTTTCTTAATAGGTATTAGAAGTTCAAATGATATTCAATTGTTATCTTTTTTTAACTCAAAAATGGGTGATCTAATTGCCAAAAATCAGTTAGTTCTCAGCGAGCTATGCTATGAAAACTGTTTTTCCTAGGAAAACACTTTCAGCAGTACAGTGGTATTTCTGATCCCTTATGAGATTTGAAGTCAGGTCCTAAATAGGATTTTTCATTGTTCCTCTCTGTTAACACTTACCTCTGTATTAACATTGAATTTTACTTGATGGAGCTCTGAATATATGCAATACAGACTGACTTGCTTTGGACATTGAAATCTTATGTACTCTGTGGAAGTACCATTACTCACTGACCAAAGCTTGTATAAAAATTAAAAACTATTGAAAAATAAAAATAAAAGAGAAATAGGATAATATATATTTTATAACATCTTAAAATCGTGTTTTTAATGTTTGTTCATTGTAGAAATATCAAAATCAAGAATTACAAGATAAAATGATGTGCAGTCCCATCACCCAGAAATTACCAATGTTAACATATAAAAGTCTATCTTTCCAGACAAAGGAAGCATTCAATACATGGAAGCTATTAGAGTAGCCTCTAGATTAGTGAGACCCCAATTAAAATGTAGCTATTAATATAATAGCAAGTTGCCATTTTTGATGCAAAACATGTATGAAATCATAATAATATTGTGAATGTTTATTTGCATTTATCAACATATTTTAAACATTTTTGTTAATTAGAATTTGACAAGAGTATGTACACAAACACACACACACACATATATTTATCAGCATTTGTTATGTAAGAAATATGGTTAACCCAGCCAAATACTTATTATTGATTATTAAATTTCTTATAATTTAATATGAAGCAATTTCCAGTAGCGCCAGACCGATTTAAAATGCAGTAAGCATATATATATTAGAGAAAATTTTGTAATATAAGAATTTTTGTGAAACAAAAATATTTCATCAAAAATGTATTTAGGCTAATATAAATTTGGCTCAAGCATGAACTATATGACTGTGCTATTCATATAGAAGAAAATCAAGTATTGAGTAAGTGGGTGAGAATTTTAAAAATTCTTTTCAATTCAGAAATTAGGTGTTACTAAAATCTTCGCTTAATATCAAATTATAGAATCACAGATTATTAGAGTTGGAAAGGACATAGACATCTCTTTGCAAGGAATGTTAGTCTCCAAACATCAGCAATACGGGCTCTCATACTTCTATACTAATGTTTATACTGTCGATAGAAAAAAATGAAAATCACTGTCTTATATCTGCTGTTTTCTAGAAATACGTGTTTTATCATACTTAGCAAATACTTTTAATGTTTCTATGAAAAAAGGAACACTTGTCTTCAGAATAATAATATTTATTCCATTTTAATTTGATTTTCTACTCTATGAAGTTGACAATCACTTGCCCCAGAAAGCTTTAAGAAAGAAATTTGTAGCTACTAATAATTCAAAATTCCAGTCCTTGGCTTTGATCTTCTCTATTTAGGTTTAATAATGGGGATAAATACAACTAAGAGCATCCACTTTCAGCATGTATTCATATAAGTTTTAGACTCTGATAAGGTTGATAGTTGTCAAATGTGACACATTTTATCTTGGGACAAGTCCTCTTTCTCCTCTATATATTTTGAAGTAGAATGGTTTGCATTTTAAGTAGCAAATAACACTTTTTTTCAGAGTCTTTGATTTAGATAAGATTATGAGTCTATTGCAGTAATGTGCTAAAGTCCCACAGTCTCACAAGGCCACTTACGGTTTTGCTGAGGCCCACCAGTGCTAGAGAATCTCTTTGGCAGTGATATGCTACTTAACCTCCATTGAGTTTTTAGGTGTGCACAAGCAAGTCTCTTAACTACTAAATGTCTCCTACTGATCCAATTACTTCTTCTTACTTGACCCACTGGCATAGATTCTAAAAGCAGCTCATTACACAAATAAGTATTTAATTATGTAATTATTTTCAAGTTTGCTGTTATTCATAATTATCAGTATCAGCTATTACAGTTTGCTGATGGCTGGCCAAGATGGCATCACTTGATCGTGATTCTACCAACTAGCTAGCAAAACCACTGTACTTTACAAATGGTGTGTAGACTTGTTCATCTAGCTCATAGAACTCATTATAATAGTAATTTTTATTTTCAACTCTAGTGAGTCATAATTATATTTCGAGGCAAATAATTTAACACTCATCTAAATCAAATCACTAAAAACAGACTCAAGAGTTTTTTCTGGAGATGGGTACTTATTCTGAGAGTTGTGGTAGCTGAGGCGGTGAAGTGAGGTAGTGAATGGTGGATAGTAAATGCAATGTGACATCATTTACACTCACAGTTGTAAGAAAATGCTTACTATATGTTTATATAATTTAACAGTATTATTTTTTCAAATCCCTCATTTTTTTCTGTGAGAAGTGAGATATTTTTGTTCAGAAACGGGTAAGTAGAGGGAATTTTTAGAGAAGGAACTGCAAAGTTATATGGAAAAAAGCATAAGTAGCGGGAGGGCAAATAAATGGAGCCAGTAATTTCACCAAAAAACATAGTTTTGATTCTTTTTAACATTCTTATTTTTTTCTATGAGGATGAGGAAAAGGGATCTTTTACTTTTTAATGTAAAGATAAAAGTTATTATAATTGAGATAATTAATTTTGGATTACAATTCAAAACAAACCCAGGCAGCTATATGATGATATGATGTATCACACATAAATTAGATAATTAGTAAAGCATAGTATTAAAGATATTATATTAAATTACGTATTCAATATGTTACACACACACATTTAAGTTTTAAGCATAAATACTATTCATTTGCTGGAAGTTACTCTCCAAACCAGACATGCAGCATCACTAAAGGACTAATAAAATCAGGAGGTACCTCTGTAAATAGCTTTAGGGAAGAATTTAATTAGGACCATTCAAACTAGTAAATTCACTAAATTCAAAAGGAATGTCAGAAATTTCATGATCCAAAAAACATTTTGGAGAACTATATTAATATAGAAGGCATTTCTCTTGGTCTGAAATTTTAAATAAAAAATCTATGTACAATTTCTTTTCAAAACGTATTACCATATTAAGATTAAAATGTTTCTATGTCTCCATTTATGTTGCTGGCACAATCTTCCTTCTTTCTTTCTTTTTTTTTTTTTTCTTTTCCCTAGCTTATCCTCAGGTAGAGCATATTGTGCTAATTTTGTGAGGCTAGATTCCAGTATGACACACATAATAACTCTACATTTGTATTGCATCTGTTATTTCTATTTTGCCTCTAGACTTGACTGTGATCCCAAGCAACACAATATGTTACCATTTAATTTTATAACATGCCATTTGCACAGATTTTTTTTACCGCAGCTGTATTAATGGTACTGCTAGAGTAAGTCTGTTGAAGACATACGCGAAAAAGGAAAATGAGGCCACCAATGACAATTTAATTCACCAATTATTTTTAAATTGCTTGTTAAGTTTGCTCCCAGATGGAAAGAGATGGAATAATGTAAAGAGAGTGCAAAGCAAAACACCACTTATACTAATGACTTAATGTACTCTCCTGAAATTAGGCAAATGCTTATTTTTATGTTAATTATGAGTATTGTGTCACTTTCTTTTGAAGTAGAAATCCTTTTCTTGTAAAGATTTGGCTTAAAGGAATGAGATAGAGCATTCAGTTTCAAACTTGGCAATACATAGTAACTTTTTTATCTTGAAAAATAAAATATGAATAACATTGAATTTTGGTGCAACTGGCTATCATTACAATTTGGGGCATTTAGCTTTTATAGTTTGCTAGGTAACTGGTTTCAAAGTCTTTTTCCTTAGGACCTGTTTTAGTAAACTTTTTCTCTGTAAACCTGTTACTTTTAAAATGTCTTATTTCATTTTTTAAAAAATATCCAAATCTGCATATGCCTGCCGATTGGAATTTCTCATCAAAATGCGCCAACTAGCAGCCTCACTCTAAGCAAAGAAGCAGGATATTTGTGCTAGTCAGTGTAGCTTTGAGTGAGCAGTGGAGTGTCATTAGTAAATGATCAAAATCTGTAAGCTTTTGAAAAACACTGAAAATATTATTAGGGCGACTAGATATTTGGGCCCTTTGAACTTGACCACCATAAAATCTCACATGACAATAAATATATAAACATTTAAAAATATAAATTTTGATACCTGAAATTAGTGTTAGATTTTAAAGACTATAGAATGATTGCGTAACAGTAGGTGGTCTCTGCCAAGTAAGTATTTCATTTTAAAAAGAAAAATTATTTGTTTATTTGGCTGAGTGCAGTAGCTCATGCCTGTAATCCCAGCACTTTGGGAGGACAAGGTGGGCAGATCTCTTGAGCTCAGGAGTTTGAGAACAGCCTGTCTCTACTAAAATATATTAATACATAAATTAGTTGAACGTGTTGGCACACGCCTGTAATCCCAGCTACTGGGGAGGCTCAGGCGTGAGAATTGTTGAACCCAGAAGTCGAAGGCTGCAGTGAGCCAAGATTGCATCCCTGCACATCAGCCTGGGTGATAGAGTGAGACTCTGTCTCAAGAAGAAAAAATAAAAGTTAAAAAATATATTCGTTCATTCATTCAACACACATGCTTTATAAGAATGTAGTACACAACAGGCCCTATGCCATACTCTGTGTGCAAAACACATACTCACTGATCTCAAAGAATTTACTGTTTGGTGATGGACGCAGATGCGTAGAGATGCAATTCTAGCACATCATGATGAGTGTTGTTATAGGAACAGTAATAAAAATAAAAAGAACACTAATAGGGATGCCCAACCAAGAAATAAAGGATCCAGGAGGGCTTCCTGAGCAATGGCTTATCATATGAGGACTAAAGGATATGTAGGAATTGGCCAAAGAGGAGTATGTGTGAGGAAAGGAAAAGGGAGAACATTTTCAGAAAAATGGAGCAGAAAGTACTCTGAGAAAATTTCAGATTTTTGCATGAACTATTTTGTAGTATTTAAGTCATGAGTTCTGAGAGATAAGGCTGGAGTAAGTTACAGCTGAACCATGAAGAGCCTCACCTTATTGTCAGCTTAATGAGAAAGATGTAAATAAATTATCAGGGAGGTAACATGATCCTATTTATGGATTAGGAGGCTCCCTCAGTAGCACTAAGGAGAATGGATTAAACAAGATAGGCTGGAGGCAAAGAAGGAAGTTGGAACAGAAATTAAGGAAAGAGAAATGGTGTCTGAAATAAATTAATGAAAATTTGATACTGGAAAGAAGAATGCAAATCTAATATATCTTTAGAAATTGATGACAAATTGAAGATAGGAGAGAAGAGTGATGATGGAATCAGGATTACAGGTTTGACCCCATGATGGGCCTGTATGCTTGTTCATTCATAGATGACCACAGAATAACAGATGACCACAAAAAGAACCTGGAGTGTAGAAAAGGTTTCTAGAAGTCTGAAGGTAAATAGTGTAAAGAGTTGAAACATAACCACAAAATTGAAAGTACATGTTATGAACAAACAATTCTGTCTTTCCTCCAAATTTCTGATCACCCTTTTAAAAAAACTCAGCTTTCAAAACTTCTTTGGATTATAACCTAAAAGAAACACCTTTTATATAATGATCCAGTATACATACATGCATATATGCAACTGAAATGAAAATTTTATCAAATAATTTACCTTATTACCTGTAATGTACCCTAACATTTTCCCATTTCACTGGGGAAAAAAAGTTACCACCTGCTAAATTGATCACAGCTGTTCATCTGAAAGAAAATGATTATGTTATCTTAATCCATTAGATAATCTGTTGATTTCAAAATACAGAGATAAAGAACTCTAGACAACAGTCAGTCATGGTACTTTCTATTTATCTGTGTCCTTTCTACAGCAGCAACATCAGGCAGCATGAGGGGCCTTGAGTGTATGCCTTGTGGATTCAGACTCCCTATATTTGCAATCTGGTTATGCTATGTGTGTAATCTTCAGTCAGGCACTTAAGTATTTCATTTATTAAGTAGAGAAAATAGCCTTATCATAGTGTTATAAAAAGACCATGTAACTTATTATGAATGAAAGTGTTAAAGCTTGTAGCATAGGTCCTGGAAGTGCCCTATAAATGTAATCACTATGCATATATATATATATATGTAATCACTATGCATATATATATGCATATATGTATATATATCATATGCATAGTGATTACATCCAATATGCATAGTGATTACATTTATAGGGCACTTCCAGGACCTATGCTACAAGCTTTAACACTTTCATTATATATATATAATGGGTTAAGGCCTGGCCTTGGGGGAATTTGTTGACAGTTTATGTAAAAATGGATCAATATAAGTTTATTACCACTTTTGAAATAATTCATATGGCATTCCTGCACAATCATCATCATCATCTTTACCTGCAGCTATGTCCATAAATATCACAGATACCAGTTTTCTAATAGAAATCTCTTGCCCTCAGAGGCAATGCAAAAATGATAATAAATGACACTGATTTTTATTTCTGCTAATTATGTTTTGCTTATCTGAATAAATATGTATAAATAAGATATATTTCAGAAAAAAATATAATATGATTATAATTGCTGTACTGTTTAAAGGTCTGTATAGGTCCAGCATGATTAAATGCAAGTGAATTAAGATTTGGGTGCCAAACACTTTATTAGTTGCTTTACATGCATAATCTGTAATATGTATAGGGATCTTGCAAGTAAGAATTGTAATCGGAATTTTATAAATAGTGATATTAAGGCTTAAAAATGTTACATAAATTTTCCAAACATATACAACTCAAACAATGATTTAGTTAGAAGGTAAATTAAGATGGCTGGTCATGTTCTTAAATAAAGTTTTAAGTTTCAAGTAAAATAAACGTTGAATATTATAATTATTTTTTGCAACTTCCATACAGTGCAATAATCACTGGCATTAGTCGTTACTGAAATGTTAAATAAGTCAAATCAATAGTTCACAGCCACTTAATCGTGGCAATGCGACTTGAACCTGCATGATGAAACTTAATTACACTTATATAAAATACTTGGAAAAATGTATGATAAAACATTTTGTTCTTTGTTGTAAGTAGCCCAATTAAAAGTCTAACATTAAAAAAAAGTTTAGGAGAATAAGTTGTAGATTATATAAAATTGTGAAAACATATCAGAATAGGCTAAATTTCATACTGTTTTCCATGTAAAAGAGGTTGGACGTATTTATATAATCTGTAGAACTTAGTTTTTATTCCTTTTAAGAAATTGTTTTATGTAACATTTGTATTGATATAATCTGTAAAAATTAATTTTCACTCTGTTCAAAGAATTTGTTTCATTGAAAAACCTCGAAACATTTTATCAAAATCAGTGTTGATTGTTTACTGTATTCTATTTAGCAAAATATGCCAGGATTTCAGTCATGTGACATTTGTAGCTTCAGAGAGGTTTATGTTTTGTTTAGTGTTTTGTTAATAAATTATGTAATTCAAAGGCATATAAAAAATTCCTATGGATTATACTTCGTCCATTAACTAACTCAGTCATAGACTGTTCTTCCTTACTACACACTTAGATCTCTGTCTATTTATCAGCAGCCTGTCCTGAGAACCTGCTGTGTTTAACCCTATCCTTAGGGAGTACTACCTTAGTTGATTACATTTAAAAAGGATCGTCATCATATGAACTACTGAGATAAATACTTTCATAGAGGTGACTTAATGACCTGGAAGAAGCTTATTTACAGGCTTTAGCATAGGATTTGACATAACAAACCCAATTCCTGTTTTGATCCTGAAATTCCTACCTGGATAACTGAACAAATCACTTAATATTTTTGGATCCAATTTTTCCTCATCTGTAAAACAAGGATTGATTTGAGACTATTTTTTTTTCTTTGTATTGAAGAATCTAAGCTTTGGTATCATTCTAAACTTAATTTTTATTGCTAAAATTTCTTCTAGTTGAGAAATTAGGATACTATTGTGATGGATTCAGCAGACATCTTTTGACCATAATTTACAAGCAAGAAAAATAGCATATTCATTATTGCAAATTTTTTTGCAATTCGAATATAGAAATGAAAGTTTTATTTATTTGCATTTCTGTTTACACTAAATTTACTTTATCAGGAATCACTCTTTAGATTTTAATTGTTTAAAAGATGTATATGTAATGTGTTCTTTTGCAAGCTTGCAAATTATTGTTTCTAATTATTTGATTAAAGTGGCTTCACAATTATGTTTATAGAGAATTTAAAAATAACAAAATATATAATACTTTAGAAAATCTAATGGAATTTGGAATAATCACCTTCATGTATATAGAAAAATTATTAGAATTCCTATGTTTATAAATTTTCTTTAAATTTATTGGCACATTTTTATAATATGCTGAGGGTTACTCATGTATTTCTTGTTTACTTGAAGATAATAAAATAATAACCTAATGACAAAATATTTTAGAATACCCTTTTAATGGATTGTTATATTATTTTTATAGTGTCTTGAAAATTGAACTCATAATAAACTGAAGACAGCATGGTATTTTAATATTGAATGTGCAAGCAAATAATTAAAGTACTTATTTTACCAACCACATTAGTGAGAATGGAAGTGTTAACAATAAAATAGAAGGAAAACTGTGAAGTTAAGTAGGAAAATCTTGCATACAGTCATAGCGTGCTCAGAAACAGAGAGACAGACGAGAAAATTCATTCTCATCTCAAACAAAATGACCATTAAATTTTTTCTCTCCAACTCTTTCTTCATTGCTTACCCTAGTATTTCTCAGTCCTAAAAGTTTCTAGAACATTTATCAAGGACAATATCCAGTATCTTTGGATATGTTTTAGTTGGCAATAACTTGCTCAATATGCTTCCAAATATCCCCTTAAAAAAGATATTCTTGCTTATGTTTTACTTTCTTAGAACTTCTTCCTCAAAAGGTATTTTTGACTCGTATCTGGCAAAATCTCAAAGAGTATGTGTTTGCATTCACTTTAAGCTAGTGTTGTCTCTTCTTACCATTTTCCGGCTCTTAATGACTCCTGTGGCCATTATCTAAAACTGATCTATAAAAATTCTGTATTAAAAAGAAAGCCACCTCACTGAGGTCTATCTGTCACCTGCATTTAGGTGAAACAAAGTACACAATTATGTAGAAGTCTGTGTTTCCTCACATTTTTAAATCAACAATTTTTTACTCTAAAAATGGTGAAGAATGGTTATAGAAGAGTTTATTTTAAAAAATAACTCTTTTCAACTGTGAAGATAATTTACATGCTCCTCTGTATATAGGATATATTTTACCATCTGGTCATTCCTCTCTTCCCATGCCTCTACCTATGTGCAACTCTGTCTGCATAAACACCTGTCCACTCCTTTCCAGGCTCGCTCCCATTTTCTAAAACTGTGGTCAGTTATTATTTCCTTCTGAAATCTTCTTTTGACCCCACGTCCTTCCTGACGACAATCCACTGTGCCTGTTGCTATCACTGCCATGCGTTTTTATTTTAATTTTAATTTTTCTGGATTTGTGTCTCTTATATGTTCCTTGCAGATCATGACGTTCTTGAGGGTTCCAATGCTTAGCACATTGGCTGATACATAGTAGATAACAATCATTATTTATTAAAGGAATTTCTGTTGTTTCATACGTGGGTTTTGAAAAAAACACACATACAGTGGCTTTTGGCTAGTGCCTGAGGATGTATGAATTGAAGAAACATGTGACATATGTCATCTTGGCAACTTTTCTTCACACTCAGTTAAAACTGCAACTATTAAAAGCAACAAAAATTAGGTGAAATTTCTTAATAAACCTAATTCCCACTGACTAATTTGTCTAGTTTTCCCATCAAATTGATTTTTTTTTTTTTTTGCATAACATTTGGAACAGCAACCAAATACCATTTTTATGTTTAGTTCTAAGTCATGCAGTTTAGGGGAAACATGTTAAAACAACATTTTTTGCAGCAGAACAATATGTAGAATCTGCCTGAAAATATATTTAAGATTTGTTTTCAAAAAGGACACACTTTATTTTTGTAACATAAATATAAGAACACACTCTTTTAGACCTTATTCATAGCCTACTAAGTTGCCCACTTTCCTTTCCCCCTATTTCTTTATATTTGGAAGGTGACCCACATGATTGCACTGGCTTAATGCTAAAAAGTAATTTGTGCTCTCATAAATCAGAGTGTCATATAAAAATTATGTTTTATATTCTGTGCTATGACTGAGCATTACTCAAAATATGTATAATTACTTTTTTGAAAAAAAGATGTTTAAAAATATACAGCTCTAATTTTAAAAGTATTTTGCAGTATTTACCAAAACATTCTTTTTAACTTATAAAATTAAGTATTTTAAAGTTTCTGACCTAGGGAAATATTGTTACACTTGATTCATTGTTTGAAGGATTAATTTTAAATATAACACTTTGCTCTTTTATCATACCTCATGTTTTTGTAATGAATATGCAGGAAACTATATTCTATAGTAAAAAAAAAATCAAAAAATATAAATAAAATTTAAAATAGAAGATTCTGCAATAAGTCAGCTATTTTTTAAATGCCTACTATATGCCAATAGTATAAAATCTTCTATTAAATAATTTCAGAAAATTAAACAAAAGTAGATCTAAATAGCTGCTCACATAAAACAGAAACTAATATAAGACATTGTATGAGTAATTGCTAAATGATTGCATGGCAATAGTTTCTACAGTAGTTAAAATAAATACATGTTTATTTAGGTTTGGATAGCCTGAGAAGCGTTTTTAGAAAAAATACAGCTGACTGTTAAAAAACACAAGTTTGGGCTTTGTGCATCCACTTATATGTGGATTTTCTTCTGCTTCTACCACCACTGAGACAGCAAGACCAACCCCTGTTCTTCTTCCTCCTCCTTGGCATACTTAAAGAGGATGAGGATGAAGTTCTTTATGATGATCCACTTCCACTTAATACACAATAAATATGTTTTCTTTTCCTTGTGATTTTCTTAATAACATTTTTTCTAGCTTGCTTTGTTGTAAAACTATATTGTACAATACATGTAACATACAGAATGATTATATGTTAATTGAATATATTATCAGTAAGACTTCTAGTTAAGGGAAGGATATTAGTTAATTTTTGGAGTAGCCAAAAATCACGTATGGTTTTTCAATTGTGTGGGGTGTTGATGCCCTTAACCCATTCATTTTTCAAGGGTCTTTGTACCTGATCAGTGAATAAAGAGATGAAGGGGCGCCTTCAAAATGGCTGATGGAAAGCATCCGGTACTCACCTCCTTCACAAAATAAGGAGTAGATAATGACACTTTGAATAGATCACCTAAGAAAAAATGCTGGAATTCAACAGAGATGTGACAGAAAACACCTAAGGCAAGAAAGGAGACCAAAGCGAGGCAGCCCGCTTGGCTACAATTGGCAAGGAGTATGCAGAGGCTCCTTAGTCTGGAGAAAGAGTAAGCAAATGCTCCCCAGTGGTCCACATTTCCACAGCAGATTCCTGAAATCTTAGCCATGGTAGAGTCCTTCAACCCATATGGGCACTGAAACTATCATAGGAAGCTGCATGGGGATGGCAAGAGCATTGCTCTGGGAAGGGAGTTAAGAATGGGTGCCATACCCACACTGAAGCCTAAGCAGCCACAGCAGAGTGCTATTTTGAGAGCCCAGTCCCCACCAGTTTGCATCCTGCCCTAGAGTCCAACTTCTGCCTCTCCAGATTCCTAGAACGCCACTGACCTCCCCCACCTGCAGCCAGGCACCACTGGTGGCTACTGTTGCTAGGACCAAAGCATGAGGCACTGACAGTGACCCAGCAACCTTTAGCAGCAGGGTCGCCACACGCTTAAAAGCACCCCGAAGAAAGGCTGCCCGGTTTATAGCTGTCACCTAGGGCTGAAACTTGCATTCCTCAGCTATCTGCTCGTGTGTACTAAAACTGAAAGTAACCTCTGCTTCCCCACCCCAACCCCACAGCAGTGCTGCAAGTGCAGCTTCTGCCACCTTCATCTAAACATTCTGTTGGGGGTTTGGGGATCACTCCACCCCTGTATACCACAGCCAGTGACTGTAAACACTACCGGGGGGCTGAGGGAAGGCCCATGTGATGTAGCTCTACCCTCCTGAGTGCACAAGCACACCCTTCAAGGGCCTGTGTATCATCCTGCCCCACCTACACTATTAGCAGCTGAGCACTATTTCCAGGGGCTTGAAAATGAGTCCACTCAACCTATGCTACCACCACAGCTAGTACCCGCATGTATGCACCAACTGCAAGCCTAGAGACTGGCCATTGCAGCCTGTCACAGCCACCACCAACACCAGTACAGATGGCTTGAGAGTCAGAGGATTGACCCTCCACTACTATTACCACCAAACCCACTGCCTTGGAGCCAGAGGACCCACTCACCCACCCAGTTCATCACTGTCACTGCCAACACCCAAGCAAGCCACACAGGGACAACAGAATTGCATAGACCTGCTTACATAGACCTGCTGACACCAGTGCTAGTGTATGCAGCCCTGAAAATTAGGGAAAGACATAATTGACCTGCACTGCCGCCAATGGGGGCCAAAGACTGGCCCACCTGATGGCCCTGTCCCCAGCAAGACTTCACCACCACCTGCATGTATGTGTGGTGAATTATATGTGACTAAGCCCTCACATATAAAAATAAAGTTGAATGTAAATTGATTAAATTTTGTAGTTCAATGATATAGACTGGCTTAATAGTTAAAAAAAGGCAGGGATGGGGGCAGCATGCTGGCTCATGCCTGTAATCCCTGCACTTTGGGAGGCTGAGGCGGGCAGATTACTTGAGGTCAGGAGTTCAAAACCAGCCTGGCCAACATAGTAAAATCTGGTCTCAATCAAAAATACAAAAATTAGCCGGATGTGGTGGTGCGTGCCTGTAGTCCCAGCTACTCAGGAGGCAGAGGTGGGAGAAAAGCTTGAACCTTGGAGGTGGAATTTGCAGTGAGCAGAGATCGTGCCACTGCAGTCCAAACTGGGCAACAGAGCAAGAATCTAAAACAAACAAACAAAAAGACATGAATTTTAAAAATTACAAAGTCTCAACCATATGCTGCCTACAAGGAACACATCTCACCTGTAAAGAAACATATAGATTGAATGTAAAGGGATGGAAAAAGATATTCCATGCAAATGGAAGCAAAAAAATGAGCAGGAGTAGCTACAGTTATATCAAATAAAGTTGAATTTTAATCAAAAACAGCAGAGACAAGGTTATTATACAATTATAAAGGAATAAATTCAGCAAAAGAATATAACAACTGTAAATATATGCACAGCAAACACTGGAGCACCCAGACATATAAAACAAATATTATTAGATCAATAAGGACAAATAGACTGCAATAATGTAATATTTGGGGGACTTCAGTACCCCATTGTCAGCATTGGACAGATCATCTTGACAAAAACATCAAAAAAGAAACATTGCCTTTAAATTGCACTTTAAACCCAATAAACATAAAATACTTTTACCTAACATTTCATCCAACAGGAGTAGAACACACATTCTTCTGATCAGCACATAGAACTTTCTCAAGAATAGACCATATTGTAGGACATAAAACAAGTCTCAATTTTTTTAATAATCAAAATATACCAAGTATCTTCTCAGAACACAGTGGAATAAAAAATAACAAGAACTTTGAAAACTATATTAATATTTGGAAATTAAACAACATGCTTCTAAATGACCATTGGGTCAAGAATATAATTAAGAGAGGAATCAAAAAATGTATTGAAACAAATGAAAATTGAAACATAACATACCAAAAACTATGGTATTCAGAAAAAAAACAATACTAAGAGGAAAGTTTTTAGCAATAAACGCCTACATTAAAAAGTAGAAAGATTTCAAATAAACAATCTAATGATACACCTCAATAAATTTTAAAAGCAAGAACACACCAAACCAAAATTAGCAAAAGGAAAGAAATAATAAAAAATCAAAGTGGAACTAAACAAAATACAGGCTGAAAATAATAATACAAAGGGTCAACAAAACAAAAAGTTGTTTTCCAAAAAAAGATAAAATTTATAAACTGCTCACTAGACTAATGAAGATAAAAAGAAAGAGGACCCAAATAAATCAGAAAAATGGAGACATTACAACTGATAGCACTGAAATACAAGAGATCACCAGAGACGATTACGAATAACCCTACACTAACTAATTTGAAAGCCTAGAAAAAATGAACAAGTTCCTGGAAAAATATAATCTGCCAATATTGAATTAGGAAGAAATAGAAAACCTGAACTTATCAACAATGAGTAATAAGATTACATCAACAATAAAAAGTCTCCCAACAAAGAAAAGTTTGAGACTGGATTGCTTCACTGACAAATTGACCAAATTTACGAAGAAGATCTAACACCATTTCTCCTGACATTATTTTAAATATTTGGGGAGGAGGGAATTTCAGCCAATTTATTTTGTGAGGCCAGCATCACCCTCATACCAATACCAGACAAGAGTCTAAAAACAATAACCAAAAAAAAAAAAAAAAAAAAAAAAACTACAGCTTGATATCCTTGATGAACAAAGATGCAAAATAATTCAACAAAATACTATCAAATTGAAACAAACAGTAACAAAAGATAATGCACCATAATCAAATGGGATTTGTTCCACAGATGCAAAGATTGCTCAACATATGCTAATCAATAAATGTGATACATCACATAAAGAGGGTGAAGGACAAAATCTTATCATCATCTTAATAGACACAGAGAAATAGGGAAAATTTAACATCCTTTAAGATAAAAACTCAACAAATTAGGCATAGGATGAACATACCTCAACATAACAAAGGCCATATGTGAAAAACTCATAGCTAACATAATACTGAAAGGGAAAAAGTGGAAAGCCATTCCTCTAAGAACTGGAAAAAAATAAAGATGCTCACTTTCCCAACTGCAGTTCATCATAGTACTCAAAGGCCTAGCCAGCATCATCAGATGGATTAAAAAAAATAAAAGGCATTCGAACTGGAAAAGAAAAAGTTAAATTTTTCCTCTTTGCAGATGATATAATCTTCTATCTAGGAAAATCTAAACATTTTACCTAAAATTTCTTAGATTTGATATATAAATTAAATAAAGTTACAGGATACAATATTAATCATACACAAATCGGTGTTCATATATACCAGTAATGAATTAGCTAAGAAAGAAGAATCAAGAAGGCAATCCCATTTACAACAGCTACAATAAAATACCTAGAAATAAAGTAATCCAAAGAGCTGAAATACTTCTACAAGGAAAATTACAAAACTCTGATAAAAGCAATTGAAGAGGACACAAACAAATGGAAAGATTCCATGCTCGTGGATTGGAAGAATTAACATCATTAAAGTGACCATACCAAAACAATCTACAAATTCATTGCAATCTCTATCAAAACGCCAATGGCAATTTTACAAAAATAGAAAAATATTTATGTAGAACCCATAAAGAGGCCAAATATTCAAAACAATCCTGAGTGAAAAGAACAAAACTGGAGTCACCACACTACATGACTTCAAAAGATATTACAAGGCTATAGCAACCAAAACAGCATAATGTTGATACAAAAACAGACATACAGACAAATAAAACAGAAATAGATTGTCCAAAAATAAATCTGTGTATTTACAGCCAGCTGATTTTTGACAAAGACACCAAGAACCTACACTAGGGAAAATACACCCTCTTCAATAAATGGTGTTGGCAAGATCAGATATCCACATGGAAAGAATGAAAAGGACCCTTATTTCTCACTACATAGAAAAATCAGCCAAGATCAATTAAAGACATAGTGTTAGGACCCAAAATTATAAAACTACTGGAAGAAAACTTTGGGGAAACACTTCAGGACATTGATCTAGGCAAAGATTTTATGGCTGAGACCTAAAAAAACACAAGCAACAAAAACAGAAAAATTTCTGCACAGCTAAGGAAACAATCAACAGAGTAAAGAAACAATCTGTAGAACTGGGAGAAAATATATGCAGACTACTCTTTCATCAAGGGACTAATATCCAGATTATACAAGGATCTCAACACATTGTTAAAATGGGCACTAGACATTCTCAAAATAAGACATACAGAGAACCTACATATATATGAAAAAATGTTCAATATCACTAATCATCATGGAAGTGTAAATCAAAATCATGAGATACCATCTTGCCCCAGTTAGAATGGCTATTATCAAAATGACAAAAAATATATATAAATGCTGGGGAGGATGTGGAGAAAAAAGAACTCTTATACACTGTTGGTGGCAATGTCAATCAGTGCAGTCAGTGTGGAAAACAGTATGAGGATTTCTCAAAAATGTAAATATAGAACTGCTCTATGTTCCAGCAATGCCATTAACAGATATCTATTCAAAAGAGAAGAAATCAGTATATCAAAAAGATACCTGCACCCCCATGTTTATTACAGTACTATTCACAATAACAGAGATATGGAATCAACTTAAGTGTCCATCAACCAACAAATGGGTAAAGAAGATATGGTATTGGCACACAATGAAAAACTATTCAGCCATAAAAATGCATGAAATAACACTAGTTGCAGCAACATGGGGTAAAATGGAGGTCATTATGTTACATGAAATAAATCAGGCACAGAAACAATTATCACATGTTCTCACTATATGTGGGGCTAAAAAAGGTAATATCATGAAGGTATAGACTAGTATGCTAGATGCCAGAGGCTAGGAAATGTATGTGGGAAGGATAAAGAGAGTAGGTTAATGGGTCTAAACATACATTTAAACAGAAAGAATAATTTCCAGTGATTGAGAGTAAACTTTAGTTACTAAACAACAATGTACTGTATATTTCTAAATAGACACAAGAGAGTATTTGAAATATTTTTAACGCATTGAGATGAAAAGTATTCTAGGGAATAAATACTATGACATGATCATTACATGTTATACGCGTGTAACAAAAAAATCACATGTCCCCTGTAAATATATACAAATGCTATGTATCAATAATAAGATAGAAATATATATACCTATTATGTACCTTTAATTATTAAAAGTGAAACTTTATTTTAAAAAGGATAAGGGAAATATATTGCAGACAAATGTAGTGGTGTGAGAGGGTGCAGAAGTACAGAGGCAAGAAAACATAAAAGGTTAAACTACTTCATGGCATGTTATTGCTTTTTAGTCTGTAAACCTTGTATCATAACCTCAATCTCCAACACTAAATTTAGGCCCTCCTTCCTCCCTTAGCTTAGTGAAACATCTTTTTTAACTGTTCACTTTCTCTGTCTCCTGCAGTGATCATTATTCTGTCTTTTAAATCAATAGAATTAGGTTGCTCTTGTTTAAAATAGCTAGCTAGCTAGATACTCAACCTTGGAAATAAGGTCAACCGGAGAGGGAAGACATGGTATTTTACTATCATACTGGAGCACTGTTTAAGAGGCTTGTGTAAAGATTAATGAATTACATGGGATAAGGTACCTATGTTGACTTCACTATTTATTATTTGATGAGAGCCTAGACATTGTAAATATAGATGTTAGTTATAGATTTTGTCTAGGGGAGACAATAACCCCAAATATGATAGTTTTACTATCTGTAAGCTATTATAATTATTCTGTGTAAACACAAAAATATTATTTAAATATATTTCCCCCAAAATGCATATAAACTCCTAGTTCCTCTCAATGCTTAAAACCAGGTAAGCAGATTTATCTTCTTGCAAGTTTTGTTATTAATAAATTAATGTCAATCACATTTATTTATTTTATATTTATATATAAGCACTCTGTTTCGAACTTTTTGAAAACTTAATTCTATACTCTTCAATATTAAAATCTCCTTTTGTTTTAGTCATTTATAACCTCTCCCCAACTGTGCCCTTGTTGCATTTTATTAAAATTTGTAATGCTCATAAATGGAGAGACTAAATTTCAACCACGCTGAGGCACAAATAGGGTGTTCCCAGCTCTTGGAGAGCTTCTTGAAACTGTACCCATTCCCTCTACTGATTCCAGTGCAACAGAGCCCTGGCTGTGCAGGTGAAGCTATGAAGGTGAAAGCCTGACATAAAGGTTTTCCTTCCTAAACCGCCACAAACCCCTGTCCAGAATCTTGCCCGACACTATCTCTGGCTTCCCTACATCCAAACGCCTATTATTTAGATATATCCATTGTTCTCCCACTTCAGGCCTTGTTCACACATGTTGTTTTCTCTGTCTCAAATGTCCTCTTCTCTGTGTTTCTTCCTTGAGTACCTATATTTATTTTTTTAAGACGGAGTTCAAATGTCGCTCGTACATACTGTAAAGCCTTTTTTTTTCTCTAGCCCTACTACCGCTTTGGAATCACTTTGCTATAAAACAACAGCACACATTTAATGAGGTCCTCTATGGGGTAGGTGTCATGGGAGGCTCTGGGAATACAAAGTCAAATAAAATATAATCCCTGACCTTGAGGGTCTTCCAGGATGGTGAAAAAAATTACTGTCTGGTAGAAGTGTTTATACCTCTCTGACAGTACTCAGACAGTTTTATTAAAAGTTTATGTTTACTTGGCTTCCCACTGGAAGATGGTGAAACGCTTCCTGGCAAGGCTTTGGCGTAGTGTTGTTAATACATTTAGGGGCTTAGTGCAAAGTTTCTGAGGCCAAACCACCTCATTTCAACTCCTGGCTCTCTCACCAGCTAACACTATGACCCTGGATAAGTCATCTATCCTTACTAGGTCTCAGATTGCTTACTGATAAGTAATAGCCATTATTTTTTGTCTTATTATTATTAGAGTTGGTAAAACATAATTATTTTGAATTGTTGGGTTCAGATTGCAAATGACACTTAATGTGAGATTATATAGCTTGAAATTTACTCTAATAGTAGGTGGAAGTCCTTACAATATATAAAATGAAATTGGTACCATCAAAGCAACATCCTATATCAATATTTACTGGCCTATTGGCATTCACTCAGCTTATTAGATTTTTGGAATATGTTTTATATATGCTTCTCTAATGACTGAACAGAGTTGAACATGTTAATGTTCTCATTGAGTACTGATATGAACAGACTGATTGATCTTATAACGAGCTTAAAAGTTTTTACGTTAATACCCAACATGTGTGGACTCTACTGTTAAGCTACTTAGGATATTGTTTTATGTTTGAAATGTTTTAAAATGATGTAAACATTTTTAGTGTTTTATGAAAGAAACAAAAACCAACACAATACAAACTAAAGGAAGAGAATGTGAAAATCATGGAGCAACCCAGCAGTTGATATATAACAAGATCAAGATTAACAAATAGTCCAGGCGAGGTGGCTCACACCTGTAATCCCAGCACTTTGGGAGGCCGAGGTGGGCAGATCACAAAGTCAGGAACTTGAGACCAGCCGGGCCACATAGCAAAACCCTGTCTCTACTTAAAAAAAAAAAAAAAAAAAAAAAAAAAAAAATTAAGCAGGTGTGGTGACACGTGCCTGTATTTCCAGACTGGGGAAGGCTGAGGCAGGAGAATTCCTTGAACCTGGGAGGCAGAGTTTGCAGTGAGCCAAGATCATGCCACTGCACTCCAGCCTGGGTAACAGAGAGAGACTCCATCTCAAAAAAAAAAAAAAAAAAAAGAAAAGAAAAAGAAAAAGAAAAGAAAAGAAAAGAAAGAAAGAAAGGATTAACAAATAGGAGCTGAAGAACTTGGATGTAAGGAATTTTCCAAATGACTTGTATTCAGATGGAAGAAAATTGATATTACCAATGCAAAATAAACGCAGCAAATATAAATTTTTGTGCAGTTTTAGGTCAAGTAAGATAGGATTTCATTTTATATATATATATATGTGTGTGTGTGTTTCCTTCCAAAAATTAGGACATAAATGCTAAAGACAATAGTTCAACTCATTAAATATCGACTTTACAGAAAGTCCTAAAGATTTTCAACATTGACAAAAATTATTACGCACATTTGCAGAACACTTCTCAGATTCTGAAAAATAACTACTAGCTACATTTTCTTTGAGATGGTATGAGAAATTGAAAGCTGAGTAACATAAAAGGATAACCAGTGAAGATTATTTTTTATTTGCATTGACTATCTCAACTCATGTAACATGATTATATATTAAGCAATCTAATTTATAATAAAATTGTTAAATTTCTCTAAGATTTTATCATATGCTAGTAGGTATTCTAAGAACTTCATATATGCTGAAAAATGAATATTTTAAATATTAAGTTCTTACCCTAATAACTTGGTAAGAATTAAATATTAAATCCTTATCATAAGAATTTGGTAAGAATTAAACATTACCATAAGAATTTGTCAAGAATTAAATATTAAGTCCTTACCATAAGAATTTGTTAAAAATTAAATATTAAATTCTTACTATAGTCCAAAGAAGGAGGTTCTGTTTTATCATTGGTTTCATTTTACAGGTGAGGAAATATGTGCACAGGTAGTTGAAAAAAAGTTTCTCAAGGTCTGAAGCAATATTTAATATTTGCACACAGTTTGCCTAATTCCAGAGGTTTCAGCTATTTAATATCTAAGCAGTTGTTGTTGTTGACAACATGTGTTGCTATATATGCTTATAAAGACCTATAGGCAGCTCGAATATTATAGGCACAGAGTCATAAATCCAAGAGATGGTCTAATCTCAAATGGTTAACTTGGTAGTTAAATCACACATGGAAAAACTAGCATGGACATGGATGTGATAAACAGCAGTGCTAAGAACCGAGAACCACAACCACTATTTTTTTGTGTGCTAATGTTACATACAACTTGCAAAAAGTAAAGAAAATGTACATGATCTGCTGTACATGAAAGATAGGCTATTGTGCATAAATGATTTTCTGAGTTAATTAGGTTGAACCTAATGCTACAATAGCACAAATATGTATTCATGCATTGCAGAAGAATAATTGCTAGAAAATGTTGCTAGGCATTACATTTTCTTTATTATTCACTTAAGAGAAAGTTTATGAACACAATGAAGAATATTCTTTGATGTTGCTTCTGAATTGCATAGTCGAGCATGAATACCATTGGCTAATATGCTGTCACTCTTATAGCAGGTGATGTAAATATTCTCTAATCTAGTATCATTTAAATGAATGATCAATAATTTATAAAAAAGAATCCTTTAGGCACTTTGTATCTGTTTATCAGACATTAATATAAATGGTATTATTCAAAAATATGTTCTTTCTAGTTTTAATGTCATGATTTCTCCTAAAAATACATTTTTCAATGAATGTTTCTAATTAGCATTGGCTATTTAACACTCTCCCACGTTGGAGTTCCTCAAGTGCACTTCAAACTCAGTGGTTCAAAATTCATATCATCCTTCAACTCGCTACCTCGATAAAATATATTATTCTCCATTTTCCTTATCTCATTAAATGCCACCATTGTCTACTCAATGTTTCTCAAGCCAGAGAGATGAAAGTTATTTCTGATGCCTTTCATTCCCTCACTCCCTATATTAAATGCATGATGATATTTTGTGTATTATACCAAATACATGTCTCTCAAGGCTTCTCTTTTAATCTTCTGCAAAAAACTGGGATTCCCGCTCCATGTTTTACTTGCTTATTTCTTGGTGTTTGGTGCCCTGTTGCATTAGCATCTTGTTTGTCTCCTTCTCCTTGCATATACTCTACCTTCCTTCCAACTGTCTCCAAATATTTTTTCTGAAATGACGTTTTAAAACCTGAAATATGGTAATATTACTCCTTTCAGAAAAGTACTTCCATGGCTATCAGTTGTCCCTATTTCAAGTTTTATGATTATGATGATTTTTATTATTATGAATTCTACAGCAAAATGTGAGCATTGTGAGTGTAGGAACCATGTTAATCTTGCTAATCAATAGATGAGTCAGGCACATAGCCGGTATTCAGTAAAACTTTATCAAATAAATAAATGAATCTAGTTAAGAAATCACAATTCCTAAAGAGTTCAGTATGAAATTATGAATATCTTAGTGGACTGCTTTATACCCCATTTATTCTTCTGTTTTAGTTCAACTGATCTCTGTTTCAATAGTGAAATTAGACTGTATTATTTCTCCTTTTTTATTCCCCAAATCATCTGTGGAAAAGAACAGCTTGGGTATGTTTTTATTTTGAAAAACTTCAATGCAGGCTTATAATATACATTTAAAGTAATGGCAAATAGAAAGAGCTAAGTCAAGTAGTCAACAAAAGGTCACAGAATGCCTAAAAACATTAAGAGCAAGATTTGACATAAGGAAAACACGTTGCAGACTTTAGTCAAGGATAAAACAAAAACCTCTCTGGAAGAGACCAGTGAAATAGGAGTTTATTCCTATATCTGCTTTAAACTTGTGTGACTTCACAGGCCTTCAGTTCCTTCATCTGAGCACTGGAATAGATTTTTTAGTAAATCCATCCATTACTGCAATTTTATGATTACATATAGAAATTATTCTTTCTTGGAAACGATGTTTTCAATATTTATTTTTCTTATTTCTATCCTGTCTCTCACCTGTCTTTTTCTAATATCCTCATAAAACACTGACTTCACGTCAATCTCTAAAATCTTTACATTATGGGACTAATTATATTAAGTCATTTTTCTCCAAATAACCTAAGAATTTTATACTGCAAATCCTCACTTAACATCCTCCATAGGTTCTTGACAACTACGACTTCATGCAAAACAACTTATATAGGAACAAACTTGATCATAGGGTAATTGATATAAACAAGAGTCAAGTTCCTATGACATAATTCTTTTCATGAAAACATCAAGCTTCTAAATAAAGATAAAAATATTTATAATATTAAATATTGAAATAAACATGAGCTATATGTACTTTTAAGAAAGATTAATAAAAACAAGTAAGATAATTATTCGCCTTCTTGTTCCTGTCGCAGGTGTCCAAAGCCTTTCTGGGCAACTCAGGGTACAAGGTGGGAACAAACTTTGTACATGACACTGTTCTATCAAGGGCACACTCACACAGACACACTCTCTCTCTCTCTTTCTCTGTTTCTCTCTCTCTGTCATTTTAGCACCATGTAGATACACCAATGAACACGACATATTTTTGAGATAGGAAAGGAAGCCAGAGTACCCAGAGAAAACCCACGCAGACATGGGGAGAAGGTGCAAACTGTATACATGCAGTGGATCCCACCAGGAATTTGTTTTTTCTCATCAATGTTACAATGGAAGGATGTTGAATGAAACAACATTATTTAAGAACCTGCTGTACACTAGTATGAGCACACTAGTAATGAAACTTATGATACTGAAAGTTTAAGTAAGTAACTTGCTCAAGGTCAGACAGCTAGTACGTGACCCTGGGATCCAAAGGCAAGAATCTTGGCCCCTGAATACGTTGTTTTTACTACTAAGCTACAATGACTGTTGAGTTCAGTCACTGAAGTATGTTTTGAAGGAAGTCAGAGGGAGGCATGTATGGTGAATGCCTGTAATCAAAGAACAAGTTCTGCAAGTAAATATATAACTAAAAACATAAGCTATGATAGATGTTTATATAAACTATTAGCCATAGGAAAGATTCACCCTGCAAGCATCACAAAGGGTGTATAAAAGAGATGACACTTGAGTAATCTGATATAACTTAGATACAGCCTGGCAAACAGAAAAAAAAAGCAAAGAACCACGAATGGTTATGTAGTTTTAAGTTTTGAGGTTGAGTGAATTGTATGGAGAGAAGATAACTGCCATTAAGTTAAATTGTGAAAGGCTTTATATATTAAGCCAGATATTTAATTGTAATGCCAAAGGCAATGTAGAATGATTAAAGTTTTCTAAGCACTACATTCACATATTGGAAAATTTTTAAGATACTAATTCTTACGGTAGTGTGAATAAAAGTAATTCTCCATGGACTAAGGGCTTCTGTTGGGCCTGGCTTCATGCCCAACATTGATTGGTGAGAAACAAATAGAGACTCTATGGAATAAACAACAAAAGTTAGTTGTCTAAAAGTAAAGTAGAACAGAATCTTCAACTTTAATAAAAGAAAAGCATATGGAAAGAAATCCTTTAAATAAGGGAGATACATAAAACATACATAAGAAATACACACCCTATTGTAAAATAGAGTCTCATTTGGCAGTAGCCATTACAAGCATGCCTTCATGAGAATAGAATGTGAGTTTTATTGTTATTCAGTGGCCACTGATGTATGGAAACAACATCCCATATACAGCCCAAACTTCTCCACTTGAAACAGGAATATTGTATTATGTTTGGGCATAAAACAGTGCTGAATGCAGAGTAGAAACTCAATACACAGATTTTATAGATATTGTAGACTGTTTGAGAACTTTTGGATTATATTTTTCCCTGTAGCACATAGTTTTGTGTTCCTAATTTTCATTTTGATATTACTTTATTTTATGGGCTTATGACTATGATTTATCATTAAATTTTAAGTATTTTAAAAAATATTGTTTAGCAATTTTAGATGTGGTTATATAATTTTTATGCCTAGAATTTTCCCATGGAAACATATTGCAAATTAGCTTTCATTTACCAGAAGAAAAAAAATAAAATTTTACATAAACCAGTTTTCTCCAAACATGAGCTGAGAGCAATAGCAGGTGGTCCATACACTGAGGAGTATCTGGTAACATTCCAACTGTGAGGCAGAAAATTCTGAAATGGTGCAATATAGGAATGTAATGTGAAAGATTAGGAGGGCTGACGTTAGCAGAAGAATAAAGCGTCCAGAGGTACTAGAAAGAATAGGACATTGTTAAAGTCTTTGGCTGTCAAACAGTACATTACATTATGGGTTTTAATCTTCCTAATATTGCTCATTGTTTAGTTGTTACTATTAGTAAAATAGTGCATACATTTTTGAGGAGGGCTGATGTTGATAGCTCGTTTTTTTGTCACTTTGATAGTTAGAGTTGAAATTAGTCATCTACAATAGATACTTTTGTACCATATACAAAATTGTGCTTTGAATTAGCTGCTGAATTCATGATTTATAGAAGTCTTAGCAAGGCTGATTTATACTACACTACTCTCTTACCTTAACTTGAATTGCATCCCTAAGAAACAAAAGCTGAAAAAGATTGTATTAGTTCATTCTCACACCACTATGAAGAAACACCTGTGACTGGGTAGTTTATAAAGATAAGAGGTTCAATAAACTCACAGTTCCATAGGGCTGGGGAGGCCTCAGGAAGCTTACAATCATGTCAGAAGGGGAAGTAAACATGTCCTTCACATGGCAGCAGGAAGCAGAAGTGCTGAGCTAAGGGAGAAACACCCCTTATAAACCATTATATCTGGTGAGAACTCACTGTCATAAGAACAACACGAGGGTAACCAACCCCACGATTAAATAACCTCCCACTGTGTCCCTCCCATGACATGTGAAGATTATGGGAACTGCAATTCAAGATGAGATTTGGGTGGGGACACAGCCAAACCATATCATTCTACCCCTAGTCCCTCCCAAATCTCACGTACTCACATTTCAAAACACAATCATGCTCTTCCAACAGTTCCCCAAAGTTTTAACTCATTCCAGCATGTACTCGAAAGTTCAAGTCCAAAGTCTCATCTGAGACAAGGCAAGTTTCTTCTGCCTACAAACGTGTGAAATCAAAAGTGAGTTAGTTACATCATAGATACAATGGGGATACAGTCATTGGTTAAATACATCCATTCCACATAGAGGTAATTGGCCAACACAAAGGGGCTTCAGGCCCCATTCAAGCCCAGAATCCAATAGGACAGTCATTAAACTTTAAAGTTCCAAAATGATATCCTTTGACTCCATGTCTCACATCCAAGTTATGCCTTTCCAAGAGGTGAGCTCCCACAGCCTTGGGCAGCTCTGCTCCTGTGGCTTTGCAGGGTATGCCCCCCCTTCAGCTGCTTTCACAGGCTGACATTCAGTGTCTGTGGCCTTTCCAGGTGCACAGTGCAAGCTGTGGATGGATCTACCATTGTGGGGTCTGGATGATGGTGGCCCTCTTCTCACTATTCCACTAGACAGTGCTGTGTGGGGCTCCAACCCCACATTTCCTTTCCACATTTCCCCAGGAGAGGCTCTCCATGAAGGCTCTGCTCCCACAGCAAACTTGTGCCTGGGTATCCAGGCATTTCCATACATCCTCTGAAATCTAGACAGAGGTTCACAAAGCTCTATTCTTGACTTCTGTGTACCTGCAGGCCCAATACCATGTGTAAGCTGCCAAGGCTTGGGGCTTGTACCCATTGAAGAACAGCCTGAGCTGTACACTGACCCGTTTTAGCCATGGCTGGAGCTGAAGCAGCTGGGATGCAGAGCACCATGTCCTGAGGCTGCATGGGTTGTCGGAAGAGGGGCACAAAACCATTTTTCCCTCTTAGGGCTTCAGGCCTGTGATGGGAGGGGCTATTGTGAAGTTCTCTGACATGTCCTCGAGACATTTTCCCTATTGGCTTGAATTTCTCCCCAGAAAATGAGATTTTCTTTTCTCTCACATCATCAGGTTGCAAATTTTCAAACCTTTTATTCTCTGCTTCCTCTTGATTGCTTTAGCACTTAGAATTTTTTCTGCCAGATACCCTAAATCATCTCTCTCAAGTTCAAAGTTCTGCGGGGCAAAATGCTGCCAGTCTCCCTGCATAGCAAGAGTGACCTATACTCCAACTCCTAACAAATTCCTTATCTCCATCAAGACCTCAACATTGACTTAGTTGTCCATATTACTTTAAGCATTTTGGTCAAAACCGTTCAACACATCTCTAGGAAGTTCTAAACTTTCCCAAATCTTCCTGTCTTCTTCTAAGCCCTCCAAACTTTTCCAGCCTCTGCCTGTTACCCAGTTCCAATGTTGTTTGCACATTTTTGGGTATCTTTACAGCAGCGCCCCACTCTCTGCACTACCAGTTTTCTGTATTAGTCATTCTCATGCTGCTATGAAGAAATACCCGAGACTTGGTAATTTATAAAGAAAAGAGGTATAATTAAGTCACAGTTCCACAGGGCTGGAGAGGCCTCAGGAAACATACAATCATATTGGAAGGGGAAGTAAACACATTCTTCTTCACATGGCAGCAGGAAGGAGAAGTGCTGAGCAAAAAGGGAAAAACCCCTTATAAAACCATGATATCTTGTGAGAACAAATTCACTATCACAAGAACAGCATGAGAGTAATCGCCCCCATGATTAAATTACCTCGCACTGGATCCCTCCCACAACACATGGGGATTATGGGAATTACAATTCAAGATGATATATGGGTGGGGACACAGCCAAACCTTATCAAAGTTATAAAACAAAATTTCTCAAAACCTGCTAAAACATGTGAAAGCTAATCAGATGTAACCTAGATATACTTGCACGATTTTGCTTGAAAAGGTCAAAAGACAAAAGAATGTATGTGAATGTATCAGTATTTGCTGTCATTGCACTTAGAAATGTGTGTCTGGGTTTCTTTTTAGAAAGCAAAATGGTTTCATTTCAGCATAAATATGCATTCTTTTTACCCGTGTAATTATAGGCAAGGAATAAAACACCACATTGAACCATGTATGTACATTTATGTCTATGCATGTGTATTCTTAAAATATTATTTCAGAGGAATAATCCACAGAAATATTTATTAAACATCAGTTGAATAAGATGCTTATTAATATTTATTAAATATTAATAATTTTAATTATTAATTAAAAATTAATTAAAATTAACAATAAATATTAATAATGTTTAATATTTATTAAACATCAGTTGAATACTATAGATTTAGTTTTGCACCATTTTTGAAAAGGCTTTGATTTAATTGCCCACAGTAATTCTTTATAATCTATAAATGAAATTCTTTATAATCTATCAATTAAAAGCATTTATAATCTATAAATGAAAAGCAATTATTATTCTGTTTGGTCATTGTGTATTTGCCTTATTGAGAGCCTATAGAAAAAATTTTAGTAATTAAAAATTAAATATATATGCATATATTTACATTTATAAAACTATATAAATCTATTTTGTGTTTACAAAATTATATAAATCTGTTTTATATTTATAAATATATAAATCTGTTATATGTTTATAAATCTATAAATCTGTTATATTTAATCTCTATTATATTTATATATTCAAGGAGATGTATATAAATATACATTTATATTTCAGACCTATTGGAAAGAAGAGTCCTGTGTATATTTGTTTTCTAGAGCTGCCGTAACAAATTACCTCAAACATGGTGGCTTAAAAATAACAGAAATGTATTCTTTCATAGTTCTGGAGGTTAGAAGGTGCTTCCTCTGAGGGCTGTACTTCCTCTGAGGGCTCTAGGGAAGGAACTTCCCTTGCCTCTTCCAGTATTCTGAGGGCTCTCAGAAATCCTTGGTTCTGGTTGGTTTGTAGCTGCTTTCTTCCTATCTCTGCCTCCTTCTTTGCATGACCTTCTTCTTTGTGTGCTTCTCTGTCTCCGTGTCTGAATTTCACTTTCTTTTTTTTTTCTTTTTTTTAAAATTATACTTTAAGTTTTAGGGTACATGTGCACAACGTACAGGTTTGTTACATATGTATACATGTGCCATGTTGGTGTGCTGCACCCATTAACTCGTCATTTAACATTAGGTATATCTCCTAATGCTATCCCTACCCCCTCCCCTAACCCCACAACAGGCCCTGGTGTGTGATGTTCCCCTTCCTGTGTCCATGTGTTCTCATTGTTCAATTCCCACCTATGAGTGAGAACATGCGGTGTTTGGTTTTTTGTCCTTGCGATAGTTTGCTGAGGATGATGGTTTCCAGCTTCATCCATGTCCCTACAAAGGATATGAATTCATCATTTTTATGGCTGCATAGTATTCCATGGTGTATATGTGCCACATTTTCTTCATCCAGTCTATCATTGTTGGACATTTGGGTTGGTTCCAAGTCTTTGCTATTGTGAATAGTGCCGTGATAAACATACATGTGCATGTGTCTTTATAGCAGCATGTTTTGTAATCCTTTGGGTATATACCCAGTAATGGGATGGCTGGGTCAAATGGTATTTCTAGTTCTAGATCCCTGAAGAATCGCCACACTGACCTCCACAACCCTTGAACTAGTTTACAGTCGCACCAACAGTGTAAAAGTGTTCCTTATAGAGACACTAGTGATTGGATTTAGGGCCTACTCTACTCCAGTACGACCTCATCTTAACTAGTTACATCTGCAAAAACTGATTTACAAACAAGCTCACATTCTGAGGTTCCAGGTGGACATGAATTTTGACAGTGGACAGAACTCTTGAACTGGGGACAGCATCTAAATGTGTACATGCGGTGTAGTCATTATTTACACATGACTCAAAAAATCTAGTTCTACTCTCCAGTCTAGTCTCTTTTCTTGAGTTCCAACAAAAGAGATGGACTCATGAAGAATTCAGACCCTCTCATATCTTATGTGCATCTATAAACAGGAACTTTTGAAGGGACTCCAGAAAGACCTATCCAAGAAGTGTTTGAAGGATTCCTGTGAATCAGCTCTAGAATGGAAGACGAGAAGTAAAAAGAAAGAATAGGAAATGGAAAAAAAAAACTGGCTTACCAACTTTAGTCCTAGGATTCTCTTTATCTTGTGTTCTTAGGAGTACATATCAGTTCTTCAAAAATAGCTGGCACTTGCTTTGGCAGCACGTATACTAAAATTGGAAGAATTCAAGAAGATTAGCAGGACCCCTGTGCAAAATATAGCTGGATAATTGATTTATTAGCATAAATATAGGTAAAATTCTATCAACTACCACAGAAGAAACAGAGAAAGCCAGTGTCTAAGGGGTAGAATTTGTTGAATAGAGAAAGAAAAAGGCAATTGTGAAATTATATATATATAACCTCAAAATTTTGATTATTCAAGTGTAGCATGGAGGAGAAGCATTTTATAGGATTATATGTGAAAGCACTTAGTATTGGCTAAGAGGTAAACAAGGTCAAAAATGTATGCCCTAAGCACCTCCTCCCAACTATGTTTTGGTTATTTTTAGTAAAAGAGTTTTCTACCTGCTTTTCTTCACTAATCAGAATATGCCTCAGAACTGGGTGGCAAAAACTGAACTGTGGGTTTTGAGGAAGCAAATGATATATACGAAATATATATTATAATGGAAATTAGTAAAATGAATTCTACATAATTTAGAGCTCCTGGCATCAAGCAAATTAACAATTACTTGAAGGAAGTAAGGATGACTAGCCTGTAAAGAAAAATTCTTAAAGGAATACTTGATAGTTATTCTTAAATGCCTGAAGTCTGGCATGAGTTAAATGGATTAAACTTGCTCTGTACTTACAAAAAGTTGCATAATCAGTTTTCAGCTTGATAAAATATGATGGGGTATATATATTCTCACTGAAATCCCCTCTAAAGCATAATGGAGATTTTTAAACAAAATTAATGTGAAGATACTATCTAAGTAATATATTTGTGTCATAAAACTTTAGAGTTGGAATAACTGTATAATTTCCATTAATTCTTAAATATTAGATTTTGGTAAATGTATGTTATAGATTTACATGTGTAAAAACTATCCAAACTTGTTTTAAATACCTCTACTATCACCTTCAGTTCTATTTAAGGTCAACTTAACAGATTTATGTAGGTCCCAAGCTATTAGAGAAAATGACAAAATAATTTTTAGTTTAACTTTCCAAAACGCAGATGCTTATTGTATAAACAAAACTCTTTCCAAATGATTTGACCAGAATTCATAAAGCAGAAACATCTGTTGTTCAGACTCATCCAAACTATACCTTATTCTGTATTCTGTATTTATAAACCACAAAAGATAATGCTCACTAGTTGAAGTCTATAGACTTTCATGCATTATTTATGAAGTCAGTAAAAATTTCAAGTATTTGCATAATAATTGATGTTAGCAATAAGAATATGAGTTTATAAATAGTTTCCAAGTGCCAATAAATGCCAGTAGTGAAGATAAACAGAAAAAGGTGATTTTATCACACCTGATTTAATGCTGTTTTTCTTTTATATTTCAACAGTCAGTGCAATCTTGGCAATAACAAAGAGAGAAACAAATTTTATATTGTTAAAAATAACATTTAGATTATATTTTTGTATATGTGAGAATGTGCAGATATTGAGTATAAGAATACTACATTTTTGAGTTAGGTGAATTTAGGTATGTTTTTAATAATTTAACTTTGAGAGAATTCTGTATATTCACTAAAGAAAACATTCACATTAAATTGCTAATCTTTATCAGTTAATAAATCTAACTGATAACTTTGGAATACACCTTTTGGCAAAGCTATGTTATATTTTAATTGTATTGAATAGGTCTGAGAAGCATTTTGTTTACAGAGCATTTGTAAAATAAAAAGTGATTAAATATGTGGGTAATCTGTTTGTTTTCTTTTGAATGTGGAGATGACAGAAGTAAATATCATAGGTGTCATGGGATTTTTTTTTCAATTGAAGCTAGTAAATTCCCTTTGTGGGTAACGCTATATAACTGAGTAAAGTTATTCTCTGTAAATCTCATTCATATCTTTATATGTTGGTCATGATTATTTATATTTGCCTTTAGTAACTTTTGTAAGAGAAGAGGCAGGGTTAATTTAAGGAAGCCATAGACCAGCCTGCTTTAGAAATTTTATTATCCTATTAAACCAAGAAGCCGTAAGAAGATATGTGGGGCAAAATAAAAAGTTGAGCTAAATGACAAACCGTATTTGGAATATAAATAAGTTAAAAAAATAAAAAAAGGAAGAAACTATAAATAATTACAAAAAAACACTCTTATTTTATGAAACCATGTCCTGATTCCATTTCATTAGTTGGTCCAATCTTCAATGCCTTTTGCAACTCACATTACTTGACAGGAAGCCAAGAAAATATTTTCAGTAGAAAAAGTAATGTAAATGACGAGTTAATGGGTGCAGCACACCAACATGGCACATGTATGCATATGTAACAAACCTGCATGTTGTGCACATGTACCCTAGAACTTAAAGTATAATATATATATATATATATATATATATATTTATAAAAAAGGAATAGTCATCTGCCACTTCAAACTTGCTTCTAAATGTGGAAATGGTTTTCCCGAGAGGTTCTCTATTTGAGCTATCACCACATCTCGCTATTTGCAACACCTATTCAAACTTTGGGAGGATCTAGGCTTTTCAAGAACTCTCTATACTGATGATACAGTGCATAGTTTTCCTTAAGTCAACAGCAAGAGGCGAAATAAGTAATTTGCTTTTGTAGCTTCTATGTATGTTTGTCTCTCAGTATCCATGGGGGATGGATTCCAGGACCTGCCGCCCTACCTCCCATCCCCCAACAGATACCAAAATCTCCAGATGCTCAAGTCCTTTAATAAAATGGCCTAGTATTTGCATATAACCTACTTATATTCTCTCATATATTTTAAATCCATTTTAGATTACTTGTAATACTTAATGCAATGTAAATGTTGTATAAATAGTTGTTATGCTGTCTTGCTTAGGGATAAACAACAATAAAAATGTTTGTACATTTTTCTTGTTATTAGAATCTTTCTCAAAACCTACAGTTCAGTTTTTGCCACCCAGTTTTTAGGCATATCCTGATTAGTGAATAAAGTCAGGTAGAACACTCTCCTTTCATGCAGCCATCCATTTTTCCTTATGAATATTTCCTATCCAAAGTTGTTAATTGAACTCATGGATAGAGAAGGTTATATTTACCAGAAGCAAGCAAGAAAACTGTGTGTGGCAATGTGGGAATGTTTCTCTAGATTTTTCTCTCAGTGTGTGTGTTGTTTTTACTTTATTTGGTGAATACTAGGCAACTCTACACCACCCCTGCCCCTAGTAATTTATGGATATCAAGACTGAAAGGAAATGAAACAAATTTATTACTTACATGGTATTATTACCTACTAAAGGGCAAAATAATCCACAACAAAAAGGGCTCAGGTTCAGTGGGAAGTGAAACCTAAGGAAGAGTCAGTGGAGTTCTGGTATTTAATGGGGTTAAGGGTTGGGCCCAAGTGAGTCCCTTACCCTCAGCCCCAATAGTTCAGGATTTAAATGGTTTGAACTTCCCTGCCGTAGCCAAGGAATAGAGACTCTGAGTTTTCTTACTGCTTGCCTAGATATGGGGAAAAAGAAAAAAGTGGAGGAGGAGGCCTTCAAAGTGGTTGGCAGTTAACAGTACCAATAGAGTGAAACTTTTTATCACAATTTGAGAGAAACTTTGAGAAGTAAAAATAGGAGATGTAGTCTACAGACCCTTAAGAAATTCACATTGTGCCCGAAAGACTAAGCATCCATTCATCTAGAAGTTGAAGAAAAATAGAAACTGGGTTTGATTAAATGACACTATGAGTGCTACATGTAAGACATTTTCTAGCCTTTCAGAGAAGGAAGTTAAGAGTACATGAAAAGATTATTACTGTTCCTGTTTGCCTTTGAAGATTATAGAGGATTACAGTCAGCATGCAGAGACAATATTGTTGTAACTTACAGCTTTAACAATGAATTCTATTGCTAGAATTTCCTTTTTTTAATGTTTTCCATAAGAGAATTCCTCCAGTTCTGATTATGGTTTCCAACAAGAGCCTTAGAACCTTATGTTTCCATTAGATTCTTCTTAATGATGTACATTAGGAGGAGATGGAGGGAATTTCATTATTCTATTCTAAAACATACCCCCTCCCAATTTAAAAATGGAACATTTGAATACTGATATATGTAAATGATTCATGATATTGTCAGCCTCAGCTTACTTGGGAAAATAATAAAATGGTCAGTCATCTAAGGAATGATTAATGGATTCTCTAGAACTTAGCTTCTTCTCTTCCTTCCTCTGATTACCTTCCTTTGGGCATGTCACAGCTCCTGATGAACATAGACAATAGATAAGACAATTAATGACATTAATGTTTCAAAACACTTTATTATTTGTTTAAAATTACAGTTTGAAGTCAAGTTGGGGAACCAGATGCCACTTTCACATGGCAAAATAATAAATGGTGTGTTTTAATTATGTATGTGGCCCAATTATCATGAGTAATAAGCAAAGCAGTATTTTTAAAGGTTAGAGAAGTTCTGTATATATTAGAGTGGAGAAACTTTAACGTTCTAAAACTGAATAAAATCTTTTCTTAAGAAGAAAGATTTTGTTTTCAGTTAAATATTATAACATATGGGATATCTGTAGAAAAAAAATTGAGTAATATACTTTCTCAAGGTTTTATTTAAGGATATTTATTTCCACATTAGGTAGTTCACAGATAATAGTGGTTTTGTTTTCACAGTCTTTCTTGTCAAATCAAAATTCATACAGAAATACATGTGAAATATTGATTGGTTATCCTTTTACAATTTACTTGATAAAATCTAAGTAGCCAAGAATTCAAGCCTAGAAGACTCTGACCAATATTATCTTTGTCTTTTATGCTAAGAAATAATATTCCAAACCTATTTCTTAGGCTATTACTACCATTTGACCCTTTATAAGCTGTTATGTTTCAATTTACTCAAATAACATAATTGTCCAGTAAGCTTTGATTACCTCAGTAACAGATCTACAAAAGGTTAATGGGCCTTAAAAAGGAAAGAAATCCTGTCATGTGCAACAACACGTATGAACCTGGGAGACTTTATGTCAAGTGAAATAAGCCAGGCACTTAAAAACAAACATGACATAATCTCACTTATATGTAGAGTTTAAATAAGTAAAACTCATAGAAACAGAGAGTTAATTGGTCATCATCAGAAGCTAGGGCATGGGGGAAATTGCGGAGATGTTGGTCAAAAGACACAAAATTCCAGTTAGCCAGGAGGAATAAGTTCAAAAAATTGATTGCACATCATGGTGACTACAGTGAATAACAATACATTTATATTTGAAAATTGCCAATGGAGTAGATTTCAAGTATTCTCACCACACACACACAAAAATAGTAACTAGGTGAAGATGTTGTAGAGACCCAAATTCAGGCTCATGTACCAGATGCTCAGTCGAAACCAAACACTGACACACCAACGCTTAGAGATAGATAAAAGTTTATTCCACTTGGCCAAAGCGAGAACGGGGCAAGATCTGTCAGATATGTCTTAACAATAAGAGAAAGCAGAGAGGTTTGTTTGCAGCCAGAGAGTAAGAGAGGGGGAGTTTTAGGGAACCAATGGGGAAGTTTGTGTTTCTTTAATCTCTGATAACATCCTGAGCAACCAGACTTCTGGGTCTCAACAGTTAGTTGCAACAATCTTATAGGCATTCTTTCCTTCTGCGAATGTTTTTTGTTACCTTGAAGTTATCTTCTCCTGCTTGACAAAGAAACAGTACATCAGCAGTTTGCAATTGTATTGTGAGAACAAGGGATGTTGGCTTTTGTGCAAGCAAGCAAGAGCCTAATCCGACTTTTTTAAATCTCAGGCACTAAAAATGCTGAGATACTAAAATCTCAAGGGGCCCAATTACAAGGTAATGCATATATTAAATATGCATACATTAAAGAGCTTGATTTAGCCATTCCACAATGTATGTATACTTTAAGACATCATGTGGTACATCTTAAATATATACAGTTTATTTGTCAATTAAAAAATAAATAATTCAAAAAGAAAAAGACATTAATGGGAAGACTCACAAAGATGAAATAACAGGAAATGATAAAGAAATAAGAGGAAAAAGGTCAATACAGTTTCAAATAATGAAACACAAAAAACCGAATCAACAGTAGTACTTTTTGATATGATCTTGAAAGTTAGCAAAGGAAAAAAATTATATGAACTGTCTAGTTTTATAAATATTGATCTAGAGACACAACAGAAAGTAGTTCAGAATATGTTTGAATATGAGAGAATGTATTTAAATATCAGTTTGGAAACTTTATTTGGAAAATATTAACATATAGCAAATAGTTCAACCTTCATAACAGAAAATTTCTCTACAAGAAAACTATAGAGAGAAAGCAGACAAAAATTAGTATTTGAACCTTTTGAAGTATCATTGCAACTCTAATGTTTTGTGTACTAGTTTGTTTTTGGAAATGCTGGGCCTAAGAAGAATCAGAGGAGAAACATATGAAGGCTTTTTACTTTTAAGCCAGGTGAGAAAAAATCTGCCCTTTACTTTGTCATGGGTCCCAAAGGGGACAAGAACTTAAAAAAAATGAGAGACCTGATCATCAGAGCATATACAGTGTTGTGAAGAAAGATGTAGTAAAATATATTATCTAAAAAAGCACTGAAGAAACTGAAATGCAACCTGCTAATGAAGATAGGTATGGAAAAGAGATATGAATTAAGTCCTTTTGGAAAAGAAGATCACAATAAACTAATTTCTGTGAAAAGACTAAAAACACAAATAAAGTCAAATAAAATACATCACAGAATTTAAATAATAGACACCAGGTGCATAGGTTTTAAGACTTTGGTGAAGGAAAAATATAAGAAAAAAATTAAGAATGAGATTCTAGAAATGTAAGAAATATACAGACATTCAGCAATATCTAGTGGTTTAATTTCACAGAAAAAAATAGACATTTATTAGAAACTGTGTTTATAAGGAAACCATAGAATGAGAAGAATCCTTAACCCTACTCAACTTTAACAATTATGATACATTGAATTAGCTTTTGATGGCAGAAGTAATGATGACATATTTTTTTAAAGTAACCTAGCCTAAAGTACGCTCTTAACCACTATCATGTAGACAATTTTTTAAAAGCTCTTGCGTTGTGTACAGTAGCAAGCTCATAAGTGGAAACTTATTGCACATTCAGGAGCAAACTGGTGATATGGAATTGGATTCTCTTTTTTTCTGTTTTTATTCTAAACAAAATTTTACTTCTACCTCCTACTAAGAAAGATGTGCTTATATTCATTTCCTGTATAGTTTGGTATGTGAATAAAATGTGATAACAAATATAAAATAAAAGATGGGTAAATTTTTACATACACTTTCATAGCATTTATGGAGAAAAAAATAAAAGCAAAAAAATTACAAACAAAACAATTGAGAAGTGAAAAGTCAAGGGCTTTGACTCAGAGGAGCAGAACACTGGGGTGAGAATCCTCATGACATATGAAAAGATGGAACCCAGGACAAGCAGTAGACAATTGGCAATTGAGAAAAGGAGAATCATCTCCTTGGAAACAGTAGAGAATGATTCTTTCCTTGAACTTAGGAGAAAGAAATTTATCTTAATTTTGTCAGATTAAGTAAGGATTTCTGTGGCCATATAAAAATGTGTAATGCAATATAAGAAAGTGCTTTCCTCACATGTAGTTAAAGATGGACGATTGTTGTGATAAAAAAATATGCTTAGAGCTAATCTTGCTGCCAGAGTTTAGGAAAATAAATAGAATGGTCCTATTAAATGCCAGGCACTAGACTAAACCAAGGTGCTCATGTCATCACTGGCAAATAGTAAGCTCACAGTCATCTCAAATAACTGCAATATTAATAGATGTTTCAGGAAAAACTATAAGTAATTTAGAGCAATGGATAAATGTGTAATGATATGACAAGCTTCTGTGCTAGTTTATGAGTGTTTTAGCTTAGAGTTAGGTCAGTCTGTCAGGTACTCTCACAGTTGAAACTGTATGAAATTATTCAGATTTCAGAAAAAAATGTGTACAGTGCGATGCAATTTACAGAATAAAATCTTTCTATTTGAAGGAATGTATAATGGGAATACCTAGAAAGTGGTCTGGAAAGAATGATAATAAACTGATGCAACTCTTTATTTGGCTACTCCAGGTCAGGGAGTATGAATCATCCGTGAGTGTGTCTACAAAGAGAACAAAGCGGGTAGTACTGTGGGGTCTCTTGCATGTGCCATGCACACTATAGTCTATGTGAATGATGCTCCTCCCCGGAATCATGTAGTGTACTATCTTCCCTTTGGCAATGGGATGCATAATGGTTATGATGTGAAGCAAACTCTTTGTTTATACTCTCTATACATTACTTTTTGTTTTTACAGCAAGATTTTTTTCAGATACCAATTTTATAATGAGTGAGAATGATAATGAGGCACAGAAATACCAGGTAAATATTCCCTTACCTCTTGTTTGTTGCAGAGTGTTCTTGTGTTACCTAGACATTCTGAATTAGTTTTAAAAAGAATGAAGATTTTTTTTCTCTCACAATGCTATTATTTCAAGGAGGAAGACATGAAGACTTTGTATGTAGATTCAATAAGAAGATTTTAAACATGTGTATGTAAACTTGGCAGATAAGAGCACTTGGATTTAGAGAGGCTGACAGCATATAGCAGAAGTTTAGCATAGCTTAGAGCTCTGTTACAGAAATTATGAGCTGGGAAAAGAGACAATGGTGAGCTGATGGAAGTCAGAGCAGCCAGGTTGATTAATTAGGACTCTCAATAAACACTAGAATGAAAATAAAGAAGACAGTAATCCACTAGAACAAAATAGAAGCCAAGGAGTCACTACCCACCTATAAACCCAATAACAATAGATGACAAATTTTGATACAAATATTAGAAGCAGGAGAGAAATTAGCATTTTATGAAAAAGAAAGAGCTTGTAGTCAGTCCGACAGATGGATGTTTAATTCTTGGATCCTCTATTTACAGGTGCTAGTGTATCTTCCTCTCTGGATCTGTTTCCATATAAGGGATATAATAATTATTATTTTATACAGATTTTTTTTTGTGTTGTTGATACATTTGTGTAGAGTTACATGAATAATGTATCTAAGTGCCTAGTACATTTTCTGGCACATAGATGTTTATTAAAGGATGGGCCTCTATATCTACCAACATCTAATATGAAAAAAAACTTCCCATTTCCCAGGGGCTTCCGAAGATGAGTATGAACTCATCTTAGAGTTGAAGAATATGTCAGACAGGAACAGGTCAGAAAAAGATCCCAATCTATGTATTTCATGTAAAAAGATATTTAATATAGGGACTAAGAAGGAGACTTATCTCATGATTAGATGGTGTACATAGGCAAAGAAAGGAAAAAAAATTGCTGCTATTTTCATAAAGGCTGGAAACACAATAATTATGGGAAAGTTGCTAGCAGTGATTTCAGATGCTTGTCAAACTTAAACAGGAGGTCACCAGAAAAACACTCTAAACCTCTTCTTTATGCCACCCACATCTCACGCTCATGCCACTATTTAGCATAATTTCACCTGGAGCTCTGTTGTGCTGAGATCCTAGAAAATGTAGTGTCTGGGTTTCTCCCTTGTCATTTAAAGCATACTTCAGAAGTTGGAAGACGAGTGGATAACAGGAAACCTGTTACAGGATACAACTTGATTAATTTAGATACAATAAACAATGGCGTTTCCTAACCACAAGTTGGGTTTTTTACTACTGAAAGCCAACACACTGGGCTTTCTCTTTTACTACCCACTACAGTTACAGTTAAATAATAAATGTTGTAGTCTTTATTACTTTAATTTCTTATAAGACATTTAAACTTCATGAAGACAGATCTGTGCATTTTAATCATTTTTAAGCATAATTTCAGTTAATCAAATAAATAAATATTTCTTTTCTTAAAATGAAACAATCTGCACATATATGACTCCACTCTGAAGAAAGGCAACTACTAACATAACTATAGGAATTTATGCATAATTATGTAAATAATTGCCTTCAGAGTGGAGTTGTATATGTGCAGATTGTTTCATTTAAAAAAAACAAAATAGTATTTATTATAATAAAAAAGACTGTATATATATATATATATATATATATATATATATATATATATATATAGCCTTTAAGGCCTTTTTTTTTTTTAAAAAAAAAGGAGACTGTCCCTCCAAAAGTGGCACGTAGTTTCTACCCGTTGTATAACCAACACTTTATGAATTTATGGATTTAATCCACGGTTTATCCCCAAGATTTCTGAGATCCCAAGTCCAATATAGTCAAGGCTCAAGATCAAAGTACTTACACTTTACCCTCACTACACCCCTGGCCTTTTATACCCCACCACATACCACCTCCCAGAAGTTGCTGTAGGAAGAATAATTTACCTACATACATGACCATTAGGATTCAGCCTTGAAGCAGACATGCAGGAAAATATAATATTCCATCTTATGGCAACTTTACTTGTTTTAATATTTTTCTGCACCCTGAGAAATAGTCATTTTAATAGATTTTCAATTATACACTAATATTTATCAGGGATTCATTATAAAATATGTTATTAATTCCCTTGATGGTGGGAGCAGATAGAGAGGAATATGTGGTTTCATCTCTTGAACCTCCTCTCTGCTCTCTTATCTCAAGTTTATTTCATTAGCCAATTAAACTTCTTCTGTTACTGTGTCTCTAGGTCCCCCGGCCTTTCCCTGTCTCTCAATCACTGTGGTTTATTATTCCTTATCCCTCTAATAATAAATGCCAGAAGCTATGTTTCCTCACTAAGACATATCCTGGGAAGTCAATAAATACACGTTAAGAAGACAAGATTTCTCAACTTTGTTAAGCTACGGATTTCTATCATTAACAATTCTGATTTAGCAAACATTTATTGACACCCAATCCTTCTAACTTAGTTTATCTCAATGAATTCTGTGGCCACAATTTGGTGTGTGAATAACTTATTGAACTTGCAACAGGTGGTGAATCATTAATGGCAATGTCAAGACTTAAATGTCGCCCCGCTGGTTAACCCACAGCTGCTCTCACATACCAAGCTAGAGTTCAATTAGAAAGTTGCAGATCAGTAACTCCAGAACACTGGCCAGAGGGTCAGAAGAGCTGACTCATGGACATTCTCATTGTAGATAAAGGATTCACAGGGTTTAATAGTAGTTCTTAAGTCTTTTATTTATAAAACTTAGCAGTTCCAGCAGTCTCATGATTTAGGTAAATTTGCTGTTGATTGGGGTAGAATAGTAGAAGTATATTAATAAAAACACCTTTTTAAAATTACAAAGTATTCTGTGCACTGCTGAAGTGATTCATCAATGAGAAAATCTGAATTGCTACACATTAATATTTTTTCTAGCTCTCACACCTATATGAGTCTCAGAAAGGACAGAGTGAACAGAGATGAGAATGCAACCCTCTTTTAGCAAATGATCAGGCGATTGTGTATTGTGCAATGATTAATTGATATTTTAAAATGTTTTCAGGAAGACTCAAACACTTTTTGTGAATTATGTTCTTAATTTTATAGTCACAGCTACTAAAGCGAGAGGGCTTCTTAGTAACAAATTATTTTTATAGTCATCAAAGGTTAAAATAAGAGAGTAAGATACCTAAGGCCACATGGAGAATAAATGTCATAGCTGAAAATTTGGCAATGGTTTTGTGATTCTCATCATTTTGTGTTTTATCTTGTCTTTTAATATAGACTTCTCTGAATTATTTTACTTCCGACATAGAGTAATATTAGACTAGGCCTTTAATTTTACAAAGTGTAATATTTGTATTGTGTAATAAATAGGTAGATAAATAAATATGGACCAAAATATTGAGCAGTTATCATAAATGTTTACATACATAGAAAATTGTTTTTTAATGGACAACCTATATAAAATAATTTTCTAATAAACATGTATGGTTCAAGAAGGGCATTTTAAATTAAATGTTCAATGCCATTTTAAGAAATTGATTCTCTAAAAGAATATCCACAAAATTTGATACCGCATTAAAAAATATGCCAAATAAATGTATCTAGAATCCTCTAGAATTTATTTGTTGATTGATGAAATCATAAGGAAAAGAATTTTCATATGTAATTTATTAAATGATAAATGATGTCATTTCATTTACTTGGCAAATAGCATAATAAAGATTTTAGGAGGTTTTCCTCTAGCTGGCAATTTTTGAGGATTAAAAAACTTGACCCAGTTTTGAAACTATTTTACCTTCTGCCCAAAAGCCACCTGCAAATAGCTTATTTGCATAAGCATTAAACACAAGGGCTTTCATGTTCCTTTTACTTATTACTGGGATAACAAACCTCCGTTCATTAAGCACAGCATCGTTTTTGTTGTGAATGAAAAACAGCCAACTTTCTGCCACATCTGGTTGCTAATCTATAAGCTTTGAATAAACAGTAGATAGTCAATTGCCAGCATCCATTCTCTTAAATCATGTGAAGTTTTTTTCCCCCCAGTCAAAATTCCATTTACTATAATTTCATTTCATTTTTCAGAACAACCAGGACTTTAAAAAGAGATCAGGTTTTATGTTGCAAGGTGGAAAACATGTATTAGATAATCTAAGGATAAATCTATTCGTAGTTCATATACTAAATCTCTCAATGTCCTATTGCCCATAAATGTTCAAATAGTCACTACAGACAGAATAATTTCACTGTAGCAAAAACTGGCATTTGCATTGAAAAGTCGTTTCTACTCATTTTTGAGAAACTGGTAGCAAAGTTATTAATTTTATAAAAAATCTAGAGTCAATCTCAGTGAATAACTTAATGGGTTTTTTGCTGGGCAAAAAGATGAGGGCAGTTTAACTGCAATAGCTAAAAAACATGGCATTTAAAACATTTATTTATTGAAAAATAAAGAACAGCTACAGCATCCATAAAATTCAAAGCCCAGCATTACCATTTTTTTCCCCACTGCTTCCAAATGAACTTCATCCTCCTTACTTTAAACCTTCAGAACAGTTGCCTATAAATAGAATTATTAGTCAGACATTTGGGAGTATCTTTCAGTGTGGCCACATGAAAATCTACCAGAGCACACATAAGAAAACTCTTTCCGTAATGGAACAGACAACTACGCCTCATTAAAATGCTTCACCAGATAAACTATAATAAGACTATTTGTTCTCATAATTTGTTACTTTTATTAATGAAGCTTCCCAATATGATGCCCCTCCCCTTTTTATTAGCAGCAATATCAAATTTTGTCCCCAGATTTATGCATATTTGGTTTCTTTTCTTATCTTTCTTAAACTTTAAGTTTATTTAGCCACATGTCAACTAACATTTTGCTGAATCCTTATACATATTTATGCTATGTATTATTCACAGCTTTAAAATTCCTATTTTCAAATTGATATTAACTCTTCTAAACTATTTTTCTATATATAATTTATACATATATAGAATGGATACAGAATTTCCTTATGTCTCAGATTTTTGTTTATTCCCTATTAAATGACCGGTATCCCTAAATTACAGAAGAATAGTTAAGTCTTTGCAGGATTTAATAAAAAGTAGCCAGACAAGTTCTGTGACTCTACAACCTTCATTGACCTCAATTACCTGTGCTCTTATGTAAAGAGAGGACTAGGCATTCTAAGAATTATCATATAGACAGTGAATTAGCTGCCTAAGTGAGAGTGCTTTCAATTATTTTCTCTTTTGTGAGGAGAACTAAACTTGCTTTAGTTCTCCTTCCAAATAGGAAGAGAGCTCAAAAAGACTGGGGGCAATTTCAAGAAGGAAAGAATGGGATATTCCTCCCCTGCTGGCACTCAGCATTGCACCCATCCTGCAATGGAACCATACATGATGAGACAGTTTTGGGAAAGTTTGATAGGTGTCCTCAAGAGTTTCAAGATGAAGCTAAACATGGCAAGTTGTTACCTGCTTCTGGCTTTCAAAATTCTGAAGGCTACATGCTCGTTGAGGCAGCTTTTGATGGCAAGATGGGGAAAGAGAAAAGATGCCAGATTATTCTTCCCACTTTAGGTGAATGAATATGCTATATATAGGCCAAGTGCATGCCACAGAAGATGTAAGAGGCTTCAGGTATCCGCTGGCAAGTGTTAGCAAGAAGTGAGCAGGAGAACAAATTACTCAGGTTAACAAATAGGTAGCACAGAGTTACAAAGAACTTACAAATTCACTCCCCGACAGAAGAAGCATTTGGGTGCCTGCCTCTCAATAGAAATAAAGATGAGATTATTTAAAAAAAAAAAAAAAAAAAAAAAGCTTTTCTCTTTTCTTTTAATTCTTCCTGCTATGATTCTTGTTTTCCCCATTACAATCCTAATGGAGCCATAGACAAAAGAAGGACATCTGGATAAACAACCACAGGTCTTCCTGTTACATATCAATTCTGAGCTAGGTGAGGAACAGGTAGGGAAAATGTTTTAATTTGGTTGCAAAATTGTAGTTTTAATTTACATGCAACTAGACCTTTTTAAAACCTGAAAGTAAGTCAAATTTACCAAAAATAGATTTATTGTCTTTCAATTTTATTGAAAGTGTGTTTGGAAATTGCTAGATAGCTGGAGATTGGCTGGAGTTATTCTCAAGTGATGGGAAAAAGAGATTCCAACGAGCATATTTAAAGGTAGTGATGAGAGGGAACAAAAAAAGTATTTCTTCATTTACACCAATAAGTATAACCAATAAATTTGACTGATAAACCTGTTATAGAGAATTATAAAAATAAAACAACTAAATGTATCAAGGTGATTGATTGGATTAGTATATTGCATATTCAAGCAGTGGCTCATGTCTGCAGAAACCTACTTCCCCAAAAATCTAATCAAACTGTTTATGTGCATCCACATATTAGATTTAATTGTATGCCAGACTAAAATCAGGCCTAACTGGACAATAGAGGCACTTTTGCTAACAAGATACCATGAGTTGAGACAGTGTGAACCATCAAAACCAATGTAAAAACTGATTCCTATTTATCATGTTATCATTATACATATGTAAGCTCTGTGGTTAAAATTTGAAAAGAGGATAATACTACCAATACTGCTACTACTAATACTTATAACATTTAATAGCCTAGGATATGGCTGTACATTGCTATAGACTTTATAAACACTGTACACTTCATCACACTAAATTTATTAATTTTTTTCTTCAGTAACAAATTAATCTTAGCTTACAGATAATTTGTTCATCATCTTGGCTGAATGTTCTACTTGATGTTTAATGATTTGTCCCATTGTTGTTAATTAGTGTAATACCTATATCCTTTGCTTTGTGTGTCTAGCAACTCTGCAGGATATATGTAGCTTTGCTCATTCACTATCCTGGTGAAAAATTGGAGAGCTTGCTTCAAATGAAGATTATTTGTTTTTGTAACTGCTGGTAAAGAGTATACATTTTTACAGCTACAACAAAATTCCTTTTTAGGGCTCCCCTCCTCAATTTAGAGTCCGTGCTAATTAGACAGGTGTGACAAGGGAGGCTTTATTCAGATTTCTCATGATTTAAATCAGGGCTTTGTGAGTTTTGACATAATTACTCTCTGGTTTGTTTTTAATAACGGTTCTCTATGGATCAAGTGGCAACCCAAGTCTAGTGCAAACCAGAGGTGAGGTAGTTATAGCAGAGACAGAGGTGTGCATTTTGGTTAATATCTTATTAAACTCATGCTTTGCATTTTCCACCAATGTTAGATTTTGAATCTCGATTTTGTGATGTTACATATTTAGTTATAAAATTATGTGGTATGTGTAACAAAGTTTCTAGACTTTAGTAGGTACTTAATAAATTCAGTTTTTATGTTTGGGGATTAAAATATTATGAGCTTTCTCTTTTTAATTGTAGCATATTTGGTGTGTAGGTTAAGGATGATCAGAACTAACAAAAGGGGTAAAAAGCATATATAAAAATCAATTAAATGAACAAATTTCTGTGCTTGAAAATTTAATGAATCCTTTAAGAATTTCCAGAGCTATAATGGCCCTTGGAGTGAAACTTCTGAAGTCATTTCTCATTGGTGTATATTTCTTAACTTATTAATATTTCAGAGAACTATACTGCTAAGCTCTAGGTTTCTCTACATGTTCCTTTTTTAGATTTTTTTATTTTGTTCATTAATAACATATTTTATCTGATGAGTAAACCAAAACACATTGCATATTAAGGTCACTGACTTATCTTTTGTTATAATATCTAACTTTATTATAAGCCAGGGTAACTTTACTTTCTTCAATTAAATTTTCAAAAACACAAACAAAAAAAAACCCATTAAATGTGGATGTGTTCTTTGACTTTGCATTCTAATTCACTTTTATGACTTACTTTCTTTTCCATTGCTGAACTTCTTTCCTTCTTCCTTCCTTCCTTTCTTCCTTCCTTTCTTTCTTTCTTTTTCTTTCTTTCTTTCCTTCTTTCCTTCCTTCCCTCCTTCCCTCCTTCCCTCCTTCCTTCCTTCTTTCTTTCTTTCTTTCTTTTCTCTCTCTCTCTCTCTCTCCTCTCCTCTCCTCTCCTCTCCTCTCCTCTTCTTTTCTTTTCTTTTCTTTCTTTCATTTTTTTAAGATGGAGTCTCGCTCTGTTGCCCAGGCTGGAGTGCAGTGGCACGATCTCGGCTCCCTGCAAGCTCTGCTTCCCGGGTTCACGCCATTCTCCTGCCTCAGCCTCCCGAGTAGCTGGGACTACAGGCGCCCGCCACCACGACCGGCTAATTTTTTGTGTCTTTAGTAGAAATGGGGTTTCACCGTGTTAGCCAGGATGGTCTCGATTTCCTGATCTCGTGATCCGCCCTTCTCAGCCTCCCAAAGTGCTGAAATTACAGGCGTGAGCCACCGCGCCTGTCCTGCTGAACCTATTTCTAATATTGCCTTTCCACTGTGCTGTGTATCTATTAGCTGCTTCTATTTTATCTCAGGTTGGAAAATCAGATAAATAAGCTTGGAAGACTTGTGTGACATTTAATGCTAATGAGACAGAGTAGAGGTCTAAAATAAGGAATCATTTTTTCTTTCCACAGATATTTGTTCGGCAGCTGCATTTGCAGTCCGCCCTTTGTCTGCAATATAGTCCAGGCAAAATACATCATGCTCATGGTTAATCACAATATTGAGAAGGCCCCAGCATGTTATGAGACCTAGCATAATCTGGGTCATGTGGTGAAGCTTCCACAAAGAAGGAATATTTCAGTTGAGATCTAAACAATGAATTCAACCTAGGTAAAAGAAAAAGAAAAGTGGAGAGAGAAAATTCCAGGCTGTCAGAATCATCTGTTCAACATCTTTGTGATTAATAAAGAGTCCTCTTAAAAGGCTGGTGTGTCTAGGACATAGAAGACCAATAAATGTATGGTATGAGATGGACTGGGAAGATAGAAGGGAGGAAATCACATAACTACTCAGGGATTTGTAGTCTATGGTAAAGATTGTAATTCTGAAATCAGTGATAAATCTGACAGAGTTTTAAAAAGAGGAAGTAAGATAAGTTTAAAAACCACAGAGAAGTAAATAAATACATATACTAAATCTCACTAAACCCCTTTCCTAGTTTCAATGCTCTTATTGAAGAGATTTTCAGTTTTTCACATCAGTTTTGTCCTACTAAAAATAGATGTGTTGCCAAGAGTGATATACCTGGTACTCCAAGTCATACCAATTGATTGCAGTTACTAGTGAGAAGAAAAGTCTTCTATTCTTGGTCTAACAAAGTAAAAGATGTAAGAAAATGTCATAATTTTTGTGTTAAGGGATTCTTTTTACTAATTCATCATCCAATTTTGTTCTAGAGAGTGAATTTGTCACAAGGCTCATTTTGGATAAGTAAAGTGGTCTGATATACAGTCATGCCTTGATTGATGATAGGCATAGTTTCTAAGAAATGCATTAGGTGATTTTGTCATTGTGTGAACATGATTGGCTGTACTTACTTACACAAACCTAGATGTTATAGCCTGCTACACACCTCTGCTATATGGTATAGCTTATTTCTCCTAGGCTACAAGTCTGCACAGCATGTTACTGTACTGGAAATTGTAGCCAACTATAACACAATGGAAAATATTTGATTATCTAAACATGGAAAAGTTATGATAAAAATACTGTATAAATAGTAAGCAGTGGTACACCAATGCAAGGCACTTACAATTAATGGAGCTTACAGGAATGGAAGTTACTCTGGGTGAGTCAGTGAATGAGAAGTGACTAAATGTGAAGGCCTAGGACATTACTGTACATTACTGTAGACTTTATAAACACTGTACACTTCATCACAATAAATTTATTAATTTTTTCTTCAGTAATTAATCTTAGCTTACTGTATCTTTACTTAATAAACTTTTATTTAACTTGTTGACTCTTTTGTAATAACATTTAGCTTAAGGCACACATTGTACACCTGCACAAAAATATTTTCTTTCTTTATATCCTTGTTCTATAAGTTTTTTATTTTGTTAAATGTATACTTTTTAACATTTAAATTTTTTTGTTAAACACATTTTAGCCTAGGGCTACACAAGATGTGGATCTATATCGCTGTCTTCCACGTCCACGTCTCGTCCCAATGAAAGGTGTTTGGGGCAATAGCACACATGGAGCTGTTGTCTCCTATAATAACAATGCCTTCTTGTGCAATATCTCCTGAAAGATTGGCCTGAGGCTGTTTTACAAGTAAATTTTTAAATATTTTTAAATTTTAATATTTTTGGGTACATAATAGGTGTATATATTTATGGGGTATGTGAGATGCTTTGATACGGGCATGTAATATGTAAAAATCACCTCATGAAAAATTGAGTCTCCATCCCCTCAAGCATTTATCCTTTGTGTTACAAACAGTCCAATACACTTTTTTAGTTATTTTTAAATTTACAATTAAATTATTGTTGACTATAGTCCCTCTGTTGAGCTACCAAATACTAGGTTTTGTTGCTTCTTTCTTACTAATTTTTATATCCATTAACCACCTCCCTCCACCCCCAACTACCCTTCCAAGGCTTCTACTCTCTATCTCTGTGAGTTCAGTTGTTTTAAGTTTTAGATCCCACAAATAAGTGAGAACATGTTATGCTTGTCTTACTGTGCCTGGCTTATTTCACTTAGCATAATGAGCTCTAGTTCCATCCATGTTGTTGCAAATGACAGAATCTCATTTTTTATGGCTGAATAGTACTCCATTGTATATAAGAACCACATTTTTTAAATGTAGTTACCTATTGATGGACACTTTGCCTCCAAATCTTGGCTTTTGTGAACAGTGCTGGCCAAACAAGGGAGTGCAGATATATCTGATATACTGATTTTCTTTCTTTTGTGTTTATACCTAAAATTTGAATTTCTGGGTCATGTGGTGGCTCTATTTTTAGTTTTCTGAGGAACCTCTAAACTGCTCTCCATAGTAGTTGTACTAATTTACATTCCCACCCACAGTGTAAGAGGATTCCCTTTTCTCCACATCCTCTCCAGCATTCATTAGTGCCTGTTTTTTGGATAAAACTATTTTAACTGGTGTAAGATGATATCTCATTGTTGTTTTGATTTACATTTCTCTGGTGGTCAGTGATGTTTAGCACCTCCTCATGTTCCCGTTTGCTATTTGTATGTCTTCTTTTGAGAAATGTCTATTTGATATTTGCCAATTTTAACTGGGTTATCAATTTTCCTATATAGTTGTTTGAGCTTGTTATATATTCTGGTTATTAATACTTTGTCAGATGGTTAGTTTGCAAATATTTTCTATCATTCTGTGGATTGTCAGTTCAATTTGTTGATTTTTTCCTTTGCTGTGCAGAAGATTTTTAACTTGATGTGATTTCATGTTTCCATTTTTGCTTTGGTTTTCTGTGCTTGTAGGGTATTACTCAGGGAACTTTTGCTCAGACCAATGTCCTGCAGAGTTTCTTCAATTTTTTGTAGTAGTTTCATAGTTTGAAGTCTTAGATTTCAGTCTTTAATCCACTTTGATGTGATTTTCCTATATGGCAGTAGATAGGGGTCAAGTTTCATTCTTCTGCATATGGATATCCAGTTTTCCCAGCGCCATATTTTAAAGAGACTATCTTTTCCCCAATGTATGTTTTTGGCATCTTCATTGAAAATAACTTCACTATAGATGTGTGGATTTGTTTCTGGGTTCTCTATTCTGCTTCATTAGTCCATGTGTCTGTTTGTATGCCCAGACCATGCTGCTTTGATTATTGTAGCACTGCAGTGTAATTTGAAGCCAGGTAATGTGATTTCTCCAGGTTTTTTTTGTTTGTTTGTTTCTTTTTTTGATAGCTTTGGTTCTTCTGGGTGTTTTATGATTCCACATACATTTTAGAATTTTTTTCTATTTTTGTGAGTAATGTCATTGGTATTTTGATATAGATTGTATTGAATCTGTGAATTGCTGTGGGTACTATGGACATTTTAATAATATTTATTCTTCCAACCTATGAACATGGAATATCTTTCCATTTTATTCTTTGTATGCTTTAAATTCTTTCATCAGTCTTTTGTAGTTTTCATTCTAGAGATCTTTTGCTTCTTTGGCTAATTCTTAGGTATATTATTTTATTTGTGGCTATTGTAAATGTGTTGAATTTTTTATTTCTAAAATTTTTTATTTTTATATTGATTTTGTATCCTGCAACTTTCCTGAATTTGTTTATCAGTTCTAATAGATTTTTGATAGAGTCTGTAGGTTTTTCCAAATGTAAGGTTATAACATCTACAATCAAGGATAATTTGACTTATTTCTTTCCAGTTGGGGTGCTCTTTGTTTCTTTCTCTTGTCTGATTGCTCTGCCTAGGACATTCTGTACTGTGTTAAACAACAGTAATGAAAGTGGCCATCCTTGCCATGATCCAGATATAAGAGGAAAGGCTTTCAGGTTTTCCCCATTCAGTATAATACTAGCTGTGGGTCTGTTATATATAGCTTTTATTGTGTTGAGGTTAGTTCCTTCTAAACACAGTTTGTTGAGACATTTTATCATGAAAGGTTGTTGAACATTATCAAATACTTTTACAACATCAATGGAATTTATCATACAGTTTTTGCCCTTCATTCTGTTGATATGCTGTATCACACTGATTGATGTGCATATGTTGAGATTTCCTTGCATACCTGGGATAAATCTCACTTGTCATATTCAATAATCTTTTTAATGTATTGTTGAATTTGGTTAGCTAGTATTTTGTTGAAGATTTTTGCAATGATATTTATTTCATCAGAAATTTTGGCCTATAGTTTTTTTTTATGTCTTTGTCTGATTTTGATATCAGGATAATACTGGCCTCATAGAATGAGTTTTGAAGTATTCTGTCTTGTTTTATTTTTCAGAATAGTTTGAGTAGAATTGGTATTAGTTCTTTAAATGTGTGGTAGAATTCAGCAGTGAAGCTATTGGGTCCTGGGCTTTTCTTTACCGGGATAGTTTTTATTACAGCTTTAATCTTGTTACTTGTTATTGGTTGTTCAGTTTTTTTATTTCTTCTTGCGTCTATTCTGGTAGCTTGTATGTGTCTAGGAACTTATCCATTTCCTCTAGATTTTCCATTTTATTGGTATATAGTTGTTCATAGTAGCCAGTAGTTATCCTTTGAATTTCTGTGGTATGAGTTGTAATGTCTCCCTTTTCATCTCCACTTTTATTTATTTGGGTCTTCTCCTTTTTGCTAAGTGAGCTGGTTAAAAGTTTGTCCATTTTGTTTATTTTTTCAACAAACAAACTTTTTATTTCATTATTCTTTTGTATTGTTTTCTTCATTGGAATTTTTTTTTCTGCTCTTGTCTTTATTATTTATTTTCTTCTACAAGTAATTTTGCGTTTGGTTTGCTCTTGCTTTTCCAGGTTTATAAGATGCATCTTTTGATTATTTATTTTGAAATTTTCTTCTTTTTTGATGTAGGCACTTATTGCTATAAATTTCTCTCAGTACTGCTTTTGTTATATCATAGGTTTTGGATCTTTTTGAACTTCCTTCTTAACTTTTTCACTGAAACACTGGATGGTCATTCAAGAGCATATATTTTAAATTTCCAAAATTAATTTTTTATTGATTTCTAGTTTTATTCCATTGTGGTTAGATAAGATGCTTGATATTTCAATTTTTTTGAATGTTTTAAGACTTGTTTTGTGATCTAACACATGTTCTATCCTTGAGAATGTTCCATGTGCTGAAGAGAAAAATGTGTATTTTGGCCGGGTGTGGTGGCTCACGCCTGTAATCCAAACACTTTGGTAGGCTGAGGCTGGCGGATCACCTAAGGTCAGGAGTTCAAGACCACCTGACCAACATGGTGAAACCCGGTCTCTACTAAAAATACAAAAATTAGTTGGGCATGGTGGCACATGCCTGTAATCCCAGCTAAGCAGAAGGTTGAGGCAGGAGAATCACTTGAACCCAGAAGGTGGAGGCTGCAGTGAGCCGAGATCACACAGTTGCACTCCAGCCTGGGTGAGAGAGCCAGGCTCTGTCTTTAAAAAAAAAAAAAAAAAAAAAAAGGAGAAGAAGGAAAAAGTGTATTTTGCAGCTATTGAATGAAATGTTCTGTAAATATCTATTAGATCCTTGTTGTCCATAGTGCAGATTATGTCTAATGTCTCTTTCCTGATTTTCTGTCTTAGATCTGTCCAATGCAGAAAGTAGGGTGTTGAAGTCTCCAACTATTGTTGTATTGGGGTCTATATCTCTCTTTATCGCTAATAATATTTGCTTGGTATATCTGGGTGTTCCAGTATTGGGTACACATATATTTACAATCATTTTATCCTCTTGCTGAATTGGCTTCTTTTATCATTATATAATTACCTTCTTTTTCTCTTCTTACAGTTTTTGTCGAGAAATCCATTTTGTCTTATATGAGTATAGATACTCCTGCTCTTTCGTTGGTTTTTATTGGCATAGAATATATTTTTCCGTGCCTTTACTTTCAGTCGATGTGTGTCTTTATAGGAGAAATGTTTCTTATAGCCAACAGATAATTTGTCTTTTTTTTTAAATCCATTCAGCCATAGCCATTCTGTGTCTTATGATTGAAGCATTTAGTCCATTTACATTACAAGTTATCATTGATAAGTGTGGACTTACTCTTGCCATTTTGCTGTTTGTTTTCTGATGATTTTGTGGTCTTCACTTCCTTCTTCCTTTCTTACAATAGTGGAGGTGATATTCTTGGCAGTAGGATTTAATTTCTTTCTTTTCCTTTTTTTGTGTATCTGCTGTAATTTTTTCAATTTGAGGTTACCACAATGCTTGCAAATATTATCTTACAAACCATTATTTCAGACTGATGACAATTTTACACTGGTTACATAAACAAACAAACACCAAAAAGAAACCTAATAAAAATTCTACACTTGAAAATCTCCCCCCGCTTTTTAACTTATTGCTCTTTCTCTTGATGTCCTATTATACTGTCTATGTTTTGAAAAGTTATTGTAGTTATTATTTTGGATTGATTTATCATTTATTCTTTCTACTTAAGTCAAGAGTAATTTATAAATCACCATTACAGTGCTACACTGTTCAGTGTTTTTCTGTGTGCTTAGTATTACCAGTGAGGTTTGTATCCTCAGATAATTTATTCTTGCTCACTAACAACCTTTTCTTTGATAGGTCTGGTATTGATGAAGTTCCTCAGCTTTTGTTTATCTGTGAAGGTCTTTATTTCTCTTTCATGCTCAAAGGATATATTTACTGGATACACTATTGTAGGGTAAAAGTTTTTTATTTTTTATTTTTTCCTTCAGCACTTTATATGTGTCATGCCACCCTCTCCTGGCTGTAAGGTTTCCACTGAAAATCTGCTGCCAGATATACTGAAGCTCCATTGTATGTTATGTGTTTGCTTGTTTGTTCTCTTGCTGCTTTTGGGATATTTTCTTTATCCTTGACCTTTGGGAGTATGATTATCGAATGCCTCAATGCCCGTTGGCTCTGAGATGAATACTTGTTTTCTGGGACGCACTTGTAAGGAAGCACGGAAGAGAGGTCTGTGCATACCGACATGCTTACCTACAATGCAGATGCAACTAAGTAAAAGCTGCCAGATTTACCACGTGAAGGTACAAGTTGCCTGGTTGAATTTAAATTTCAGATAAATCATGAATAATGTGTAGTTTATGTAATTCCTAAATATTTCATGGGACATACTCATACTAAACAATGTAAATTCAACTGGGCATGGTTTACTTTATTTGACAACTTTGAACTGAGTCTTCAGCCAGTCCTACTGGGCATCTTTCAGAGTTGTCCCAAATTGAGGCAAAGCAGTTGCATCTTTGTATCACTACATTAGCCAGCTATGAGTCAATGGATGCTCTCCGAAAGGAGACACCGCTTTGGGCAGGTTAGTTCATTTTAGTTTGTCTTAGGGCAATATTTCGTGAAAGGTACAGATGTGAATGGTCAGCTGCTGATATCCCCTATGAGTGTGGGATTGATGTGTTCCCATGAAGATGGGATCTGGATGATGAACCACAGTGTCTAGTACAATAATTTCTCTTATATCGGCTTCAAGAGTAACATTTAGTTAATGTTTCTATATCCTAGTTTTTAATTTTGTTGTTTTTGTTGTTTTGTTATGACTTTGTTTTCTTAACAATTGTCTACTTCAGTGTTTCTTATGCTGAGGAATTGTAGCTACTCATACTACAGAGTAATACTGAGCAATTGTAGCTACACATGACGATTGCAATTTCAAGGAAAGGGAATTTATGCTGAAATATTTGAATAACTTTCCCTCTTTAGTTTTTACTAGGTCAAAAAAATTGATATAAATGTGTACCTTTACACAGTTGGTCTACTGAAATTTTTGGTGAAACTAAAACACATTAATACCTTTTTATTGTAAAAGAAAAAATTAAATAGATTTATGTACAGAGACATCTATTACAAAAAATATTTTAAATGACCCTACACTGTATTTGCATAAAATACTTAATTTGTCATTTCCTTAGAAATGAGAGGATAGGGGCCAGGCATGGTGGCTCACGCCTGTAATCCCAGCACTTTGGGAGGCTGAGGTGGGCGGATCACCTGAGGTCAGGAGTTCAATACAAGCGTGACCAACAAGGAGAAACCCCGTCTCTACTAAAAATACAAAGTTAGCCGGATGTGATGGTGCATGCCTGTAATCCCAGCTATGCAAGAAGCTGAGGCAGGAGAATCAATTGAACCCAGGAGGCGGAGGTTGCAGTGAGCCGAGATCATGCCATTGTACTCCAGCCTGGGCAACAAGAGCGAAACCCAGTCTCAAAAAAAAAAAAAAAAAAAAAAAAAACCAGAAAAAGAGAAAGAAATGAGAGGAAAAGTCTGAAGAAATAAGGAGAAATAAGATAAATAAGATAGCTTACTTGAGAAAGAAACACAAACAAACTTGATAGCTGTGGAGTATACTAGATAATCCATAATGTGAACACTCAGGTTTGAGGAGATTCTATATAGCAGAAAAGGCCTATCTTCACAAAAATGGTAATTTGATAGAATATCTAACCTTATCTTGATATGGTTATTAACGTTAAAACATGGAACTTTTAAAAGACCTTCTATTTTGTCAAACATTTACTTAAGCAAAGCATGTTGCACAGTGCCTGGCACTTTTAAATACTCAACAAATATTGCTTTTGCTATTCTTTTTTTTTTTATACTCATGGGAAAACTATTTTAAATAATCCATAATTGCTTACTATGTATTTTCAAGTTAAAGTATTTAAAAGTAGATAGATTTTGATAACTGAAGATAAAATAATAGCCCTAAAACAGGAAAAGTGAATGTAAAGTTGCTATCTTCCAGGGCTAGAGAGGTATGATGTAAGACAGTAGGGGCCGTGTAAAAGTGGAGACTGTGTATTCAACTTTAAGATATTCAAATTCAATTTAAAAAAAAAATCTAATTTTCAGGTAGCTAGACTTGAGTCGAGACAAACAGCAGATCTGAAAGACAGGCCATGAGAGACGTGTGCAAATGTTATAGTGTAAAACAGGGGTCCCAACCCCCAGGCCACAAACTGGTACCGTTCCGTGGCCTGTTAGGAACTGGGCCACACAGCAGGATGGGAGAGGTGGATGAGTGAGCATTACTCCTAAGCTCTGCCTCCTGTCAGATCACTGGCAGCATTTGATTATCATAGAAGCACCAGCTCTACTGTGAACTGTGCATGCAAGTGATCTAGGTTGCACGCTCCTTATGAGAGTGTAATGCTTGATGATCTGAGTGGTGGAACAGTTTCATCCCGAAACCTTCCCCCCAACCCTGTCCATGAAAATATTATATTCCGCAAAATGAATCCCTGGTACCAAAGAGGTTGGGGACCACTGGTATAAACAAAATTAAAGCAGCATTAAATTCGAAGATGTCTTAGATGTTATTTTCTTGCAAGAGACAGAATCTTACTTAAATTTCCTTAGTAAAACAGGAGCTTAACTGAGAGGATACAAGAATATCTTGGGCTCATAGTAAATAGGAAATCATTAGATAGCTGTTTGTTTTATGTCTAGTTCTAAAGCTGCATGGTTTCTAGTCCCCATTCACCTGTTTATCATCTTCTCTGATAGAGATTAATGTGGAAGGCTCTTATTATTTGTTGCCTTTAACTTAAGTTTATCCATGGCTTTGGACTGCTGTGACTATTCTGGTCCAATGCTATTAGACTTCTCAGTTGAAATGTCTATAATTAACATACTAGAATACTTCATTTTCTAAATCAAAATTTTGAAAAAAAGCCTCATGTATTATATGCTTATCCTTGAGTTAAGTATCCATTCCTATGTTACTGAGCTGTAACCAGAAAGAAAGGTCATGTGTCACAAATAGGACTTGGTTTAAACTCTCTGCTTTATCACAATGCCAGACTGATATTTAGAGCCTCTATATGCTGAAAACCTTATGACATTCCTTCATTATGCAATTCAAAATGAAATTATTTTGAATCTATAAAAAAATACATGCTGAAGCTAAACAGCCAATTCTAGTTTACAAAGTTCAGGATAAGACCATTGTCTTAGTCCATTTTATGTTACTTATAGCAGTATATCCAAAGCTAAGTAATTTATACAGAACTGAATTTATTTTCTACAGCTAAGGAGGCTTGGAAATCCAAGGTCGATGGGGCATATCTTTTGAGAGCCTTCTTGCTTGTGGGGACTCTCAGAAGAGTCCCAAGGTAGCACAGGGTATCATATGGCGAGAGGGCTGAGAATGCTAACATGCTAGCTCAGGTCTATCTTCCCCTTCTTATATATCCACCAGTTTCCTTCCCAAGATAACCCATTAATCCACTCACGAATGGATTAATCCACTCATGAGGGAGGAACTTTCATGATCCAATCCCCTCTTTAAAAAGTCCACTTCTCAATATTATCCTATTTTGGATTAAATTTCAACATAAGTTTTGGAGGGAGCATTCAAACCATAGCAGCCATGAAAGTTGAACCTTTCTAATTCTATGCATGGATGTTTACATCTGGTATCCTAAATGCTGAAGCACATTTTCAACCTACCTGTTGAAAAAGCACATTTTCTTTTCTTTTTTTTTTTTTTTTATTATACTTTAAGTTCTAGGGTACATGTGCACAACGTGCCGGTTTGTTACATATATATACATGTGCCATGTTGGTGTGCTTCACCCATTAACTCATCATTTACATTAGGTATATCTCCTAATGCTATCCCTCCCCCCTCCCCCCACCGCTTGACGGGCCCCAGTGTGTGATGTTCCCCTTCCTGTGTCCAAGTGTTCTCATTGTTCAATTCCCACCTATGAGTGAGAACATGTGGTGTTTGGTTTTTAGTCCTTGTGATAGTTTGCTCAGAATGATGGTTACCAGCTTCATCCATGTCCCTACAAAGGACATGAACTCATCATTTTTTATGGCTGCATAGTATTCCATGGTGTATATATGCCACAGTTTCTTAATCCATTCTATCATTGATGGACATGTGGGTTGGTTCCAAGTCTTTGCTATTGTGAATAATGCCACAGTGAACATATGTGTGCATGTGTCTTTATAGCAGCATGTTTTATAATCCTTTGGGTGTATACCCAGTAATGGGACAGCTGGGTCAAATGGTATTTCTAGTTCTAGATCCCTGAGGAATGGCCACACTGTCTTCCACAATGGTTGAACTAGTTTACAGTCCCACCAACAGTGTAAAAGTGTTCCTATTTCTCCATATCCTCTCCAGCACCTGTTGTTTCCTGACTTTTTAATGATCGCCATTCTAACTGGTATGCGAAGGTATCTCATTGTGGTTTTGAGTTGCATTTCTCTGATGGCCAGTGATGATAGCATTTTTTCATGTGTCTGTTGACTGCATAAATGTCTTCTTTTGAGAAGTGTCTGTTCATATCCTTCACCCACTTTTTGATGGGTTTGTTTTTTTCTTGTAAATTTGTTTGAGTTCTTCGTAGATTCTGGATATTAGCCCTTTGTCAGATAAGTAGATTGCAAACTTTTCTCCCATTCTGTAGGTTGCCTGTTCACTCTGATGGTAGTTTCTTTTGCTGTGCAGAAGCTCTGTAGTTTAATTAGATCCCATTTGTCAATTTTGGCTTTTGTTGCCATTGCTTTTGGTGCTTTAGACATGAAGTCCTTGCCCATGCCTATGTCCTGAATGGTATTGCCTAGGTTTTCTTCTAGGGTTTTTATGATTTTAGGTCTAACATTTAAGTCTTTAATCCATCTTGAATTAATTTTTGTATAAGGTGTAAGGAAGGGATCCAGTTTCAGCTTTCTACATACGGCTAGAGCACATTTTCAACCCAGCATGAGTCAATCATTTGTTTGAGCTAAATCTCATTCTGTCTCTCAAACTTTTTTCCCAAATTCATGTCATCCCTCTGCTAACAAACAAAGAGAACAAAGGTTTGTAGATGTTTCCTCTCCCAAAAGTAGGGTGTGAATAACTGCTTTAGGCAGAGGTGATCAAAGTATGACCTTATTGAGCACTTTTTTTGGCTTCGGATTAGGGTTTCAACAAGTTCAGACTTCCTGTGGCTGCCTCACCATGTCTAAAGAAATTGTGAATGATCCATCTCCTTACTGTGATTCCCTACCCACCCACTCCAATCCAACTCTTCTTTCTATCTCTTTTCAAAATATTTCTCTAAGACTTTTCTTAGACAAATATGTCTTCCCTCTCACCTAACTCCCTTTCGTTAGTAAGTTATGTGTATGTCAGATTCTTAATCCATTCAAAAGGAATGATGGTAAAGAATAAAAGAATAATAGTAAGTATTAAACTGTGCCATCTTGCCCTTCTCTCTCCCTGAGAATCTTTTGCTAATTTAGTAACCAGGGAAATTATTGCAATATCTCCTAGTGATCTGCTGGCAGGGGGAGCATCTGGTTTGGGTAAGTCAATCCCTGACTGTAAATATGGCCTGGTGAATAACTAAATATCAATAAATTTCAACCTGCTGCAGGTTGCTGAAGTTTTATAGAAACTTAGAAGAGCAAAAAGCCACCATAAATTTGAGGAGTAACCTTAGGCTTAGAGAAAAAACTGGCTGTATCTAGCTGTGAAACAAAACACATAATACTTATACAGTGAAACAGGACTTCAAAAGAGATATTAGGCAAATGAGATTTATGTTCCATATTTTTGTGGTTAATTATTCCATGTTGCTGCTTAATACGTTTTCTATTTTTTAAGAAATACAATTCAAAATGAAAGTTTTGATTATATTATAGGCTATTAGCACATGCTCAGAATTTTCAGAACTGGAGTTCTCTGCTGCCCTAACTGACAATGACAAAATCAAGTGTAGAAACTTAAGCTTATGTTGATTTCATAATGCTGGTCAAATTCAATCAAAATTAGTAATGTAATCTTTGAGTGGTTACTTTATATTTGTGATTCTCAAGCCGGGACAATTTTACTTTTCAGGGAATATTTGTCAATGTCTGGAAGCCTTTGCAATTGTCAAAACTTGGAGAGGAGGAGGTACACTACTGGCCAGAGACACTGCTAAACATCCTATGGCCCCCTCTGCATTAAATAATTGTCTGACCCAAAATGTCGTAGTGCCGATGTTGAGAAGCTGTGCTCTACATTCTTCTTGCTCCTTTATTAAATCATTACTATGTGTGAAGTGACTGTCACATAACTAGTAGTAAACAATATTTTATTGACCACTTATCATGTGTCATGCTCTATTCTAGGAACTACATACATTCACTCAATTTATCCTCACTATACTACAAAATAGGGTAGGCTATAATTCCATTTTACAGATGAGGAAATTGAAGCATAGAGGAGGTAACATCCACAATCACATAGCCTGTAAAAGATAGGTCTTGATTTATAGTCAGATAATTTGGTTTTAGAATCCCATCCTCTGTGGTAAAGGAAATCAAGTGCTGCTTATTATTTCCCTTGACTTTCTCCTATGCTCTTGCAACTCTAAGAAAATGACCTCGGCAAATCTCAATCTATCCAATAATTCATAATTCTGGGAGCTCCACAGAAAATAAAAGTTATTTATTTATTTATTGCTGTATGCATTGTTCTGCCACAGGTATAATCAACTTTGTCTGCAAAGTTAAAATTTTTAAAATTAAAGGATTAACAATGCCCTCCCTAAATATATATATATATATTTTTATATATATATATATAGTGTATATATATATATAGTGTATATATATATATAGTGTGTGTGTGTATATATATATATAGTGTGTGTATATATATATATATAGTGTGTGTGTATATATATATATATATATATACACACACTACACATGTACCTATATAAATGTAGGCCCTAACACAAACCTATATAGTGTGTATATAGTGTGTATATAGTGTGTATATATAACACAAAAATATATATAGTGTGTGTGTGTGTGTGTATATATATATATATATATATATGTATATATACACTACACATGTACATATATAAATGTAGGCCCTAACACAAACCATTGAAGTTTCACAGGTCAAAAATTTAGGCAGGTATGTAGTTTGTAGGCATCTTATACGAATTAGTTAACATACTACTTCTTTTATTTTTATTATAATATAAACTATATTCATTTTATAATATACATAAATAAAAATCAAATGCTAAATATAATAAAGTTTATTTTATATAGTCCAGCTCACTAATGTACACTAATGGTTCAATGATAATATTAAACTTCATTTTATTTTATTACATTTAGATGCAAACTCCAGCCAGGATTCACATATTGATTTCATGTTCTAGTAAAACCTACAAATAAAAAAACTACAGAGTCAGAGATTATTTCTTAATGTATTTCATATACTCTCATCCAATTTAAGTCATTTCATGACATTTTAGCTTTTTTTGTCATAGTGATCTCGTGTTTTAATGGAAAATAGTATGGGACAATTTTGTTTTGTTTTAGATGTAATATTGAAACGTAAAACTTCACTAATAATTGCTGCAAATACAATACAATACAATAAGAGAAAGTACTATTATTTATTGAGGCAAAACATAATATTAAGTAACTGAAAATGGTAGAAAGCTATAGGGTATGATAATAATGCAACATGCGAAGCGAAAAGCTTTTTTCGTGGTATTCCAGGTTGAGGGAGACATTCAAATGCCTATTAAAGCCTATCTCTACCAATGATCACATTTATATGGTTCTGTACTGGCATGTTTCCTGAAGTCTACTCATGCCCCACTGGTGGTAAAAGAATTAAATATTTAAAAATATTTATGCATATCATATTTATTAGAAAAAAATACTGATTTCCATTTATGTTGAGAATGTCAGCAAATCCAATCAACTATTCTCAGTATTTCCTTTTTTCTTCATCTGTTGCTATAATCAGAGTCCCAGCCAACATCATCTCTTGCTTATAAATGTGCAATTATTTCCCACTATCTCCCCTTTGCTTTCATTTCTGCTACTTTATGTTCTATTCTCCCCAGAGTAATCAAAGGGATCTCTTAAGAACTTGTCAAATCATGTCACTCCTCTCCTTAAAACAACTCATGCCACCCATTCATTTAGACCACACCCAAACATCCTAGTTTGACCTGCTCCATGAATCGTATTCAGATCTCATCATTTATATCTGTACTCCCAATTCACTTTTCTTGGGTGAAATAATCTTTTTGTTGTTGTTGTTCCTCAATCATCATGAGCTCCGTCTTGCTTAAGGACATTTATACTAGCTCTTTTTCTGGAAACATCTTTTTCCCAAATATTCTGGCTAATTCTGCTGGAGGTTTCAGCTTAAATGACATATCTTTGGCATTTCTCATGAAGTAAAATACAAGCTCCACAAGACAAGGCTGCAGGGGAAGTTAGGAAGGAACTATTTTTCCGGTTTTTCATTCTTTGAAATAAAGCATTATGGGCAACATATTAACAATTTAAATATAAAAGTAATACCATACATCTTCATTTCACATTTTTTCTGCAATTATTTTATATATACCTACCATCTACCACTTTCTATTTGCTAAAAATTTCTCAACATTTCCATGTAAGCAACATGCATATTAACTGAGTTGATTTTTCTGTGTGAAATTCTATTTTATAATCCAGAGTGGTTCACTTGCACCTTTTATTTCCTTAAAGTCCTAAGATAAACAGTTGCAAAGAGACAGACTCTTTGAAGCTCCTAAACATACTTCTGCTCTCTACATCCTAATAGCCCAGGGAGAGCTTTTCTGCATTTTCTCTATTCAGGTTCCTTTTGTTCTTCCTAAGCTTTGTAGTAAAAATCTGCACTCATGTTCTGCCATCTGCTTTTAGTATATTTTAAATTCACCCTCCAATTGCCATTTTACTGATTATTCCCAGAAGGATAAAGCCATTTTTAGTAAAATTCTGCTTTAAGGGGAATTGATAGTTGGGGAGAAATAACTGCACATTGTTGAAGAGTATTTATTAGAGCACACTTCTATTGTATTTGAGCAGAGAAATGCATTACTAACTGGAATGTCTTGAGTCAAGAATTTAGCAAGTTTTTGGAAAAGACTTTCATGAGGTGGAACAGAAATCCACATTAAGTTCTTGAACACACAAGATTGAGTTGAGCAAATCAATCAGAGTTTGACAAATTAAAGCAATGAATCTAGTTAAGATAATGAAATAAATTAATCCCATTTGCCTCATATAAGGGCTTGAAAGCAGAAATAAATGCAAATGAAGGAATTAGAGGTAGAGCTACACAAAATTGCTGGCTCTATAATGGAGAAAAGCCAAGAAGAATTTTAGATAAATTTGTTTGTTGGACAAAATACTGCTTATGAAAGAATTGGAGTTGGATTTGAGTTGTTGATATATAGGTGTGAATGTGTGTGTGTGTGTGTATGTATATATGTATATGTATATGTGGATTCTAGAGATCTAGAACTTAAATTGTTTTGACAGAGGATATAGATTTTTGCCAAATGTTTATTTAATGGCATTCTAACAATATATTATAAGTGTATGAGAAAGCGCTTCTCCCATATATTCCCTTGGGAGATTATCAGTTGTATTGACCTTTTCTAATTTAATAGATAAAATAACTACTATAATAAAATTTTTATTGATGTACTTACAGATTAAACAGTTTTAATATTGGTTTTTATGTGTTTGTAAATTATCTCTCATAGCTATTGCCACTCCTCAACTTTTTAAATGTTTATTAATTTGTAAAAATTCTCTACGGACATCAACCCTTGAAGTGAATGTTGCAAATATTTCCCAATGCATATTATTGTCTTTTAGCTTTGTTTAGAATAAATTTTTATATTTTTACCTATAAGACTTACAAATATTTGTTGCATCAAACTTATTTATGATTTATATGTTGGTCATTTTTCAATAGGCCTTCTCACCCCCAAATTATTATTATTTTAATAATAGTCTTTAAAAAATCAAATAATATATGTATTAGCTATTAAGTACAGTTAGATTTTTTGACTAATATAATAAAAAAGTTACAAAATGATAAATAATAAAGTTATGGGTGATTGTACAATGTTATGCCAATTTTCCATAATGTTCTAATACTGTAATTTGTCTTCTGTCATACCGAATGTAATTTTACTTACACTACAAATTTTAGATAAGAGTAGATTAGAGTGAATGAAGGCTGGATGAACAGTGATACTATACCTAAACATAGGTTCTGTGCATTTTAAGGATAATTGCAGACATTTGAATACTGGCAAATCTTTGTTATATTTAAATAAAATTAATATTAATATCTATAATTTTAGCTTATATTACTTTTGTCTTTTATTTTTAAATTATGTATACACATATGTACATAATATGACTACAAACAGTCAAAATAATATAACCAATTCCCATATACACACCATTTAGTACAAAGGATGAAACATCAGCTGTACCATTCAAGTACTCTGTGCACCCTGTCTTAATTGATTTTACCTTCTTTCCCCTCAAAATATTATCCTGATTTTCCCTAACCTGTTATCTTAAACAGTTCTTGAAAAAGCTGACTGTGGCTGGGCACAGTGGCAATTGTGGCTGGGCACAGTGGCTGGGCACCTGCAATTCCAGCTACTCAGAATGCTAAACCAGATCTTTTCGGGCCAGTAGTTTGAAGCTGTAACGCACTTTATTGCACCTTTGAATAGCTACTGCATTTTAGCCTGGGCAAAATAATAAGACCCTCTCTACAAAATGAAATAAATAAACAAATAGCATGTGTACCTGTGAACCATAACCACTCTATTTATGGAGAAAATAACACGAGGTAAAATATTGAAATGTAATACAGTCATAGCATTGTGAATGATCAAATATTTTTAATTTAAATCTGGAATTTATATTGTACTTGTTACTTAGAAATGAATTAGTAGCAATTATCAGGAATTAAGATATCAAAAAGCTATCCAAAGTTTGTTAATATTTGTGATAATATTATTTCAAAAGACAAATAATGTTAATATACATTCTCCCATTCTATATTTGATTAATAATCGGGTGAAATAATTTTATTACATCAAGCATTTTTTCCTGTTTTGCTAGTGCTATGAAATAGTAAACATTGTTAAATATCTCTATATCATTGAAAAGAAAATTATTATTATTCTGTCACAGCAGAAACAGCAGAATTTGCAATTCAGCACCCAAGACTATGTGAAAGGGTCAGATAATTATTTCTTTTAATCTCTTAAATAACTTCTTTTCTCTTGGTTTTCTATTCTATCACTCCCCATTTCGTCATTTATGCTAGACTAAGATCTCAGACCTCTTCTGTGAGAGAAAAGTCCCAGTATTTAAAAAAAATTCCAATTTGGATAAATGCAAATCAGTATACAAATTCCTAAAGTAGATCGACGTAAGTGTAAACTGAAATGTAATTCTTTAATAGCAGCATTGGCGAATAACACTAAAAAATTTTGGTTGCTGGATGAGGTAGCTCACATCTGTAATCCCAGCACCTTGGGAGACTAAGGTGCGTGGATCACTTGAGCCCAGGAATTCCAGACCAGCCTGGGAAACATGGTGAAACCCCATCTCTACAAAAACATATTAATGGGAGAAAATTTTTGCAGTCTCCCATCTGCCAAAGGCTTAACATGCAGAAGTCACAAGGAGCTTAAACAAATTTACAAGAAAAAAACAACCCCATCAAAAAGTGGGCAAAGGATATGAACAGACACTTCTCAAAAGATGACATCTACATGGCCAACAAACATGAAAAAATGCTCAACATCAGGGATCATTAGAGAAGTGCAAATCAAGACCACAGTGAGATACCATCTCATGCCAGTCAGAATAGCGACTATTAAAAAGTCAGAAACAATAGGTGCCTGTGAGACTGTAGAGAAATAGGCACACTTTTACACTGCTGCTAGGAATGTAAATTAGTTCAGCCATTGTGGAAGACAGTATGGTGATTCATCAAGGATCTAGAACCAGAAATACCATTTGACCCAACAATATCATTACTAGGTATATACCCAAAGGAATATAAATCATTCTACTATAAAGACAAATGCACATGTATGTTTATTGCAGCACTATTTACAATAGCAAAGTCATGGAACAAACCCAAATGTCTATCAGTGATAGACTGGCTAATGAAAATGTGGTACATATACACCAAGGAATACTACACAGCCATAAAAAAGAATGAGATCATGTCCTTTGCAGGGACATGGATGAAGCTCGAAGATATCATGCCCAACAAACTAACACAGGAACAGAAAACCAAACACTGCATGTTCTCACTCATAAGTGGGGGTTGAACAATGAGAACACGTGGACACAGGGATGGGAACAACACACATCAGGGCCTTTTGGGGGGTGGGGAGCTAGGAGAGGCAACTTAAAGGACGGGTCAATAGGTGCAGCAAACCACCATGGCACACGTATACTTCTGTAACAAACCTGCACGTTTTGCACATGTATCCCAGAACTTAAAGTAAAAATTTTAAAAATTTTATGTGTATATATATATTTAGCTTGGCATGGTGGCATGTGCCTGTAGTCCCAGCTACTCTGGAGGCTGAGGTGGGAGAATCACCTGCGCCAGGGAGGTCAATGCTGTAGTGAGCTGTGATCACACTACTGCACTCCAGCCTGGGCATCCAAGTGAGAACCTGTCTTTAAAAAATAAAAAAGTCGATTTTTTAAAAAATATTATACCTATTCACCTCCTTAAATTCACTTTATATTTTCAGTTGTCATTGGAAATACCATTTGGATCAAATGATTTGTATGGGAAAATCACATGTAGATAAATTGTCTTTTACCCAATCGAGATCATACAACATTTCCCATTTTATTTCTCATTTTGTCATTTTTGTTTATGTCAATAAAGTCACCTTTCTACCATTTCTAATATTTTCATTGTTTGTCTGTCACACTAAATTTACCTTTATATCATCCCTAGTGGCCAATATAATATGTGGTATATAGATTGTAATAATACATTTTATAATCTTTGAATTTTTTTGATTATGTTCAACTATTTTCTTTTCACATATATCACATCTGTGAATATTATTTAAAATAATTTTGCATAAATACTTAACTATTTTCTAAATTACTTTCAAATAATCCCATTGCTAAAATTTGAGAATCTCCTGCCTTCTTGACAACATGGAATATTTATTTTCTTCTTTCTACCTTTTTTTCTTCTCTTGTTACTTACTTTAGTACTTCTCTCTTTTTATTACCTCCTTCTCTGTCTGATTTTTTTAAACTATTGACTATTTTTAAAAATTTCTTCAATTTTTCTTGGAACATCCATATTTTTTAATTGATCTTGAAACTTTTGTTTCATAGTAATACTAACCTTTGTAATTAGTGTGACAAAAATGTATTGCACAGTTTGAACCCCTTTTGTGGATAAAGACCTTATCAATAATTAAGCTGTGACAATAGGAAAAAAACAAACATATTACCACAATTTAAACATATACCACAATGTACTTTCTTATCATATTTTGAATTTTTTCATAAATACTTTAGAGGTATAGATTTTAAATATTTCTATGTGAAATATGAAACATTTTAAACATTTCTATGTGAAATGGTATTTCTGGTTGAATATTTTTCCTTTATGTAACTTGATATCACATTTCACGTTTTACCACATCAATTGATGCAAATACTTACCAATTTTTTTTCTAATACGTTCCTGGTTTTATGTTGTTCATTTAAATGAAATAAAATTCTATTTTTAATCTGCTTTTAAAATAAGAACTCTAGTATGATTTTAATTCTTTTTCTTCAAGTGCCAGCCTAAATCTTATATCATGGTATTAAAGAACATTCAGACAACCTGGCTCTACTACTTACTATTGCTGTTGCTTTCAGCAAGTGACATAAACTCTCTGGGCTTCGTTTTCTCATGTGTTATATAATGCTGATAATGGCATGTATCTAAAATTATAAATTTAAAATTTTTAACTTGTAAGTCTTTGTAAGATTGTAAAGAGACTTAAATCAGTTAATATTTTCATATAGCCTGACGTATAGTAAAAAGTTGACAACTGTGTTTTAAATAAAGTATCAAGTATTCACTGACTGAAAATTCTAACTTTATCAAAAATTTAATTTCAAAATAAATGTAATATATTCTTCCATATTTGTATACCTACTTCTGTTCTGTAGCCCAATATTATGTTTGTCATTCATTATAGGAGAACTCTGTCTTAATAACTTTCTTTTTATAGAGTTACCTGGTGATTATTCACATTTATTCCGTCATGTAAACATGCCAGGTCCAAAACCCTCCAAAAATGTTTGATTGGAATTATGTTAATTTTGTAGATTAATGTTAAGTTTGTAGATTCGAGTAAATGAACACGTTTGTAATATTCAATCTTCTCATTCAAGATAATGATATGTCTTTCATTTGATTCAAGTCTTCAGTTTTTGGCCTTCTAGGACATGTTATTGTTTCTTCTTATATCTCCTATGAGTACATGGTTTCAAATTAGTTCATGTCACTATTATAAATAGGATCATTCTTCAATTTTCTTTTGTAGTGTTTTATTTGTGTAAATTTAAGGGGTACAAGTGTTGTTTTGTCATATGTATATATTGTGTAGTAGTGAGAGGCTGAGAGATTGCTTTATGGGTACAACGTACACTATTTGGGTAATGATTTGGGTGATGATTACCAAATGTCCAGTGTAATCATCACCCAAATAGTGTACATTGTACCCATTAAGCAGTCTCTCATCCAGTACCCTCCTCCCACCCTCCCATTCTTCTAAGTCTCCAATGTCTATTATTGCAATTGTAGGCCATTATCGTATGTGAAATAACTCAGAAACAGAAAGTCTAATACCGCATGTTCTCACTTATAAGTGGGAGCTGAATAATGTATACAGACAGACATAGACTATGGAATAATTTCTCATTTTTTTAAATGATGAAATATAAGAAAGTTAAACATTTTTTAATATTTATTGGTCAGCTGGCTGAATTATGAAACTTACATTGATTCCCAAAAAGGCTTTTTTAAAAAGCTGATTACTTCAATTTCTGAAATAGAAAATCTCTTCATGTAGAAATATGATCAATAGATCTCTTACTTTTTATCATATTTATACTTGTTTCATTTGTTCACCTAGAGAATGAGCTAGCACTAAGGTTTTGAAATAGTAGTGTACATAAAATCACCTTGGTAGACTGTTGATTATATAGTTTCCTGAATATTGTTGTCAGAGGTGGAGATGCAGGAAGTGACCCCAGGAATCTGAAATTTTAAACAGCAACTCAGATGACCTTTGATCAAGTGGTTCCTGGACTTCACTTTGAGAAATAGTGCCTTCAGATTCACAAACCAACAATCACAAAGAGCTGTAATAGATAGCCAACCATGTATTATTATCATTAAATTGGAAGGCCCTTCGTTACTTGTCTATTAAAAAATTTTGCTATTCGTTGAGAGAGAGAGAGATGCTATATTGTATACAGACCATTCATTTATTTAACAAACAACTAGAATACAATACTATGGGCCAGGAAATTTGCTAGACTTTAAGTTTCCTGCTAAACATATGTTCATGCTCCCTTCTTTCGTGGAATACAAAGTTCAGTAAGCAAGTAGGTAGGCCATGGCCAGGTCTGCCTTTCTTAGTCTCTCCTGTGTGCATCAACAGGCTGTGTAGCCTTGCACACATGCAATATGATAGCACAAGTGTTGCCTGGTCCTTATCATCTAGCTTGTACATAAACAATGTAATGGCCAGGCGTGGTGGCTCATGCCTTTAATCCCAGCTACTCAGGAGGCTGAGGCAGGAGAATCCCTTGAACCAGGGAAGCGGAGATTGCAGTGAGCCGGGGTCACGCCACTGCCCTCCACCCTGGCTACAGAGCGAGACTCTGTCGCAAAAAAAGAAACAACAGCAACAAAAACAATGCAACAAGGTAATGTTGGTAGCTTGGAAACTGGATGGTAGATCCAAGTGAAGTTGCTTGTTGTAAGTAGCCAGTAACAGTCATTAATGCTAGAATTTCAGAGTGCTGTGTTTGAGGACAATAGAAGTTAGAACCTGGAAGGATCTCACCCTTAATAGGCATAATAACTACTATCACAACTAACTTCGGTGTATGTCCTCTGAGGAATTGAGAGAACAGAGATGTCTTGGTCATCCAAATTCCCCAACTTGAAATTGACTGAAATACTTTGCGGAGTATTAATCTTTAGGCATTTTAGAGAAAACTACAATACCTGTAAGATCAACTTCTTTTGTGAAACATCTCTTGCAAAAGCTATTTTAAAGATGTAATATTCAAGCAAACATACAAAGGTGGAAGTTCCTTTAGTAACTTCTGTTTTACTTAACATATATATAATTTTAAATATATATTAAAATATAAATATATATTTAAGAAGATGTATATTTTTAAATAAGATATTTATTTTTTAATTTTATCAGATGTTTTCCCTTACATTTGTTTTTCAGTTTGTTTACTGACCTCCATCTATTGTCAGTTCCTCCATCTATTGTCAGTTCCTCAGGCTCTTTTGCCCATCACATGCCTTCAATCTATAATGCACATTTCTCTACTTACCATCCTAGAATTTGCCTTCTTTAATCATTTAGCATGTGCACAGGTCACCCTAAGTAGTGAATAAACTACGGACATAGCCCCAAAAAGCTAAATATTCAAATTTCTATACTCCCCAGTTGCCTTTAACTGAAGTAGAAGTAAGAAGGAGTAAAAGAGAATAAATTAAATAATCTAGTCAAAGTAATGAGGATATGCTGATGATAAGGCCATCGTGCCCTCAGTATTAGTCTCTCTGACAAGTTGTATCAATTCAACTAAGCTTTTAATGTGAGTGCTGTGTGACAGGCATTTTCTTGTTTACTGGAGACATAGCCCCTGTAATTGAGGAATTCACTGTCTAGTCTTATATCAAAAGTACTGATATCCAGAAATAAACAATATAGAAATACACTGATCATTATGGTAGCAGCAACCAGCACTTATTACGTGTTTACTATTTTCTAGTCACACTGCAAAAAGACATATCTGTAGCTTATCATTTAATCCTTTAAAATAAATATTATTCCCAGTTTATAAACCAGGCACTGTGGGACAGAGAGACTAAGTAATCTTCTCAGGATCACATTGCTAGTGACTGATAGAATTGTGATTCAAACCCCACATTCTGAGTCTAGATCGTAAGGAATTAACATTTTTCTGAACAAGGGCTTACAGTTATACTGGTCTTTTAATTTTATTTTAAAAAGTCAGTGAGACTACAGTTGTCATTTTTTAAATTCTTTCAATTTTTAATTATGTAACTACAAAGATTCTGCACAAATTTTGGGAAGTGGCCTTTAAATCCAGCCAAAATAAAGACTCTAGTGCAACAATTTAGAGGTGCAGTGGGCCTATATATAACTGGAATATAAGCATGCCTGTAGTTAAATGTTCTATTCTTAATGTCCCACCACCCACCCAAGCATCATGGGTCAGCCTAGATCATACCTGTTATGGTAGCGGCAGGTGCTTTTTACTTGAATAACTCCCTTTTCATAATGCATGTCTGTGTGCTGCACATGCACACACACAAACACACATACAGAGACACATACTTAAACTCTATATATCAATTCTTTGCAAATTCTACCAGTAATATTGTAGAGCAGTATTATTCCAGCTATTCCTATAATTGAAACCTGCAGAGTCAGCTATTGAGCAGCAAATCAGGGCCCCTTATTCAACAATGCCAGCTCGGTCAGAGTCCTTATCTTCTCTCTTTTGCTCACAGTGGGTCTATCATTTTTGAAAGTAACTGTTGCCTTGGAACTTCTAATAGAATCCTCACTAAAATTTACATTTTAGCCTAACTTGCAGGAGCTTTCCTTAAAGGTTTGAAAATAAATATAATCATCTTATTGTATCTTCAGGAGGCCTCCTGTTTCCATTTTCCTCAGAAAATGTGTACATTGTGAGTTTCATCAAAACGTGAATGAGATTATTTGCAAGTAGACAGCAACAGGACTCCATGTAATTTATTCCAAAAGAAGAGTGTTTCTTTGCAATTATTTACCTAAATACTAGCTATTCAAAATTTTATATAGTATCTACAAGAATTATTAAACCCATCAGTTGCTGTTAGAATATTCCCAACTAAGTATTTTCTTTAAACACAATTGCCTTTGAACCCCAGCTTCCAGAGCTTTCCAGTCAAGCAAAGTCTAAAAGAAATAAATTAAAAGCCATGGCTGAATTCAAAACCATGATCTTTCTGCAGCCTGACTTGTTCTTTAGGAAAGGTAAATTGGAAGCTGCTACATGCTTTTAAGCAATCAAAAGGACGATGAGCCTGAATTTTTCCCCTTAGGCTTGTGTGCATATGAATAAGAACTAGATATGCAAGCAGAAAACTTCTTCTTCAAATCCATCCCTTCCCAAATTCTCAGAGGCAGCAAATATTGTGGCCTTATTATCAACCCAGCCCTGTTTTCCTGATTGTTTTAATACTGACATTTTGTCTAGATTCTATTTTAATTGATGTGTTATACAGAAGAATTACAGTTGTGAGGTTCTCACAAGGTATAGACAAAACCAGGTGTGAGATGGTGTCTTAATTGCTTTTCTGTTGCTGTAACAGAATACTGTGGACTGGGTAATTAATAAAGAAAAAAAATATTTCTTATGGTTCTGGAGGCTTGGAAGTCCAAGAGTATGGCATCGGCATCTGGTGAGGGTTTTATTGCTGTATCATACATGGTGAGAGGGCAGCACATAGTGAGAGGGCAAGAGCACCCAAGTCAGCTCACATCTTTCTTTTCTTCTAAAGCCACCAGTCTCAACATGGGGGACTAACTCTAAAGACCTTATCTAATCTTGATTACCTCCTCCAAAGGCCCCACCTCCAAATATCATCAACATATGAGTTTGGGCATTTAGTTTCCAATACACAAAATTTGGGGGGTACATGCAAGTCATAACAGATGAGAAGATGGTTTTGCTAAGACTGTAAGAAAACAGCTGAATATACTGTAAATAGTTATAGCAGTGAATACCACTATAGTATTTTGGGTAAGAGGTTGATAATGTACACAGTAAAGACCAGCTACCTGTAGCTTTTTTTTAATATCATATGTCCCTGGGGAAAGAATCTTCTAGTTCCTCATCTTCAACAGGATGTTTTTATGTGAAGTCTGCAATATCAGTTAGGGATATTAGTTACAAAAAACAATATACCCTAGCTTCTTCAAGCTGAAGGGACTTATTAAGTGGCATAAATAGTTCACATATGATTGAAAGGGTGGAAGAAATAGATTCTGTTTTGACCTGCCAGGAATGAGATGCAAAACCACAACATAACTGATCTGCTATAGTATATTTGGCCATTTTCACACTGCTGACAAAGACATACCTGAGACTGGACGATTTACAAAAGAAAGAAGTTTAATGGGCTCACAGGTCCACCTGGCTGGGGAGGCCTTACAATCATGGCAAAACGCAAAATACATGTCTCACATGGTGGCAGACAAGGCAATGAGAGCCAGGTGAAAGGGGTTTCCCCTTATAAAACCATCAGAGCTCATGAGACTTATTCACTACCATGAGAATACTGTGGGAGAAACTGCCCCCATGATTCAATTATCTCCCACTGGGTCCCTCTCACAACATGAGGGAATTATGGGAGCTACAATTTGAGATGAGATTTTAGTGGGGACATAGCCAAGCCATATCACCTAGGAAATGCTGCCTTTCCCATGATCCAGATGCCTGGTTCCAGAAAGCTGATGCCAACATTGCCAACTACAGAACCACAGCTAACACCAGAACCACAGCACTTCCACCCCGATTTGTAACTGCAAAAAGTGTAACACCTGTCCCCTTCATAGTACATTCTGAACAATGTCTTATATAAAAAATAATCTTGTCAGAGTAACCCCAATCATACATAGAATCATAGCTGCAATTGAATCCTTTAAGTATAATTTTAGCTTCTCAGTTATGCGGTTCAGAAACATGTGCAAAGGAGGTAGTTGGAATAAGTTTTGTGTAAGCTGATCCACAGCATCTGCTACACTTGTCACATGCTGTCACATCATGATTTGTCTCATACATAATGATAGAAATAATGTAAGAATATTGTAAAACATGTTAATAGATTTTCTTTTCAAATCACTTTGGACTGATAAATATTATAGGCAAATTATTAAAATTAAATTTACAACCTTGGTTTTACACCCAATTATAGTAGTTCATATTTTACATATATGGAATAATTCTTATAGTTTGTAATGAGACTATACATTTATCCCCATATATTTACATATTATGTGAGCCCATTTCAAAGATAGTACTTTTAAGAGAGGAAATTATATGTTGTGGGATAACATTGTCACCTTCAAAACATCATTAACACTTCTGCAAAATATAGTTCTATATAGAGAGAAAGCAAGCATGCATCAATTTTTTTTTTTTAAAAAAACAGCTAATTATGTTCCTAAATATAGTGAAGAAAACTCCTAGGGTTACCTTAGAGGAAGTAACTTTTCTATTTTCTTTGCTTCCTTTTCCTTTTTTTTTTTTTTTTTTGACAGAGTCTCATTCTGTCACCCAGGCTGGAGTTCAGGGACATGATCTCCACTCACTGCAACCTCCACCTCCCGGGTTCAAGTGATTCTCATGCCTCAGCCACCCTAGTAGCTGGGATTACGAGAGTGAGCCACCACCCCGACTAATTTGTATATTTTTAGTAGAGACGAGGTATTGCCATATTGGCCAGGCTGGTCTGGAACTCCTGACCTCAAGTGATCCACCCGCCTTATCCTCCCAAAGTGCTGGGATTATAGGTGGGAGCCACCACGCCCAGCCATCCCTTTTCCTTTTTTAGCAAGAGGAATTAGAAGCTGTTTAAGGGTCAGGAAAAGCAAAAAATAGTGAAGCACGTTCTCCTGGATCACTTGATTCCCTTGTGGACACAAGTGAATCCTTGTACTCTTAGTTTTCTGGGTGGAAAATAAATCACCTTTAGATGTCTGCTTGAATTAAGTGAGAAATTACAAGGAACCAATATTTCAGCAAAAACATGTGACAAATGCTTTTTAGCTTAAGAGTTTTAAAATTTCAGTCATATACAGAATAAATTGAATGCCATAACAAACTATCCTGGAGCCATTATCCAGATTAAAAAATGATAATATTAGACTATTTTTTCAACTATTCCTCCACCAATTTGGAAGTGACCTTCCATATGATTATTATATTTATGGATATTTGAGGTTAGATTTACCTACATTGAAATCAATGAAATATACCAACGTTAACTATACAGCTTTGAAAAGTATATACACACATGTAACTGCCACTCTGACAAGGTATAAAACATTTAAATACTCTAAAGAGTTCCCAGGTACTCTTTTCCAATCAATTTTCTCCATCCTTTTCCCCAAGCAACCACTGATTTGTTTTCTATCACTATAGATTCATTTTGCCTATTTAAGAAATTTTTATCAGTGGATATTGAGCACTTCATGTAATTATTACTTATTCATGCACATTCCTTCAGGAAGTTTCTTTCAAGTGTTTTGTCCACTTTAAAATTTGTCCTTATGTTATTGAGTTGTCATAGAGTTTTGTGTATTTGGCATACAAGTGTTTGTTAGACACAAGTTCTGCAAATATTTTTCTTCCAGTTTATAATTAATGTAGAGGTATCTTTTGAAGAATAAAAGTTTTAAATTTTTAAGAAACTCTAATATATTAAAGTTGTCTTTTATGGTTGTTTCTTACTGTGTTGTTTCATAGCAGGTTATGAAGATAATCCCCTGTTTTCTTCTAAATACTTTGTAGTTTGGCCTTTTACTCTTACGTTTGCTCCTTCTTTGATTAATTTCGTGTTTGTTAGGAGGTAGGGGTTAAGGTTAACTTTTGTTTTTCATATGGATACCCAGTTGTCCTAGCATCATGTGTTACAAAGGTTTTTCCTGATCCATCAAATTCCTGTGAAGTGTTAGTGGAAAGGCTACTGCGGTTCTGTTTTTTGCCTTTGTTCCAAAAATTGCCAAATTATGACTCCTGGGCTGTTTTTATGTGGCTCACAATCTAATAACAATTTTGGCATCTTTAAAGTATTGTCAAAATAAGAGGTAGAAAAAGAGGCAGAAGAGGAGAAAGGAGGAGGAAGAGGGGCAAAAAGTGACAGACACCTCATATGTGTCCCACAAGGCCTGAAATATTTAATATCTGGCCCTTAAGGATAAAGTTGACTAATTCCTACCTATTCTAGTCCATTTATTTATTTATTTATTCATTTATTTATTTATTTCTGTGGCTTTTTAGTACATCTTAAAATCAGATAGATAAAGCCTTCCAACTTTGATCTTCCTTTTTCTGCAACTAATTCATTTATTTAACTGTGGTATACATTAATGCATAGCTCACGAATACTGAAATTCACAGGTACACAGACAATACACATAAAAAACAAAAAGACATAATGTGTATTGTTAATACTATAAGCCCACACACAATACACACATTCATATTTAGTACGCAGATCTGTTCCATACAATAACTGTTTGGATGTCTGCCTTTAATTCAATGTTCTATAAGGCTCCATCTCTAACCAATGTAGATAAACTTTGAAAAGACTGATTTGGGTTGGGCCAGAAAAAATACAAAGAAGCAGACCAATATGGTAGAAATAAGAACATTCTTGTACATTTTTTAAAAATTGTGAAACAATACACTAATACTTTTTCTTTTTTAAAAGAATTAAAACCTTACAGATTAAAAAAAAAACACCTCAACTTCTAGCCTTCATGTATTGTTTGGAAGTAACCATTATTACATTTTGTATATATTCTTATACATCTCTCTTTTTTACAGTTACATAAATATATTTGTACCACTACAAATATTGCATGTAATTTTTAGTTTTTTTTTTTAATTTAACTTTTATTTTATGTTCAGGAGTACATGTCCATGTTTGTTATGTAGGTAAACTTGTGTCATGGGGGTTGGTTGTACAGATTATTTCATCACTCAGACATTAAGCCTAGTACCTACTAGTTATTCTTCCTGATCCTCACCCTCCTCCCACCCTCCACCCTTCAATAGGCCTCAGTGTGTTTTGTTCCCCTCTATGTGTCCACATGTTATCATCATTAATATCCCACTTATAAGTGAGAACATACAGTATTTGGTTTTCTGTTCCTGCATTTGTTTGCCAAGGATAACTACCTCCAGCTCTATCCATGTTCGTGCAAAAGACATGATCTCATCCTTTATATGGCTGCATAGTATTCCATGTGGTACACATGGAATGTACCGCATTCCAAGTTTGGTTTATGTACCACATTTTCTTTATCCATTCAACCATTGATGGGCATTTAAGTTGATTCCATGTCTTTGCTACTGTGAATAGTGACACAATGAACATTTACATGCATGTATCTTTGTGATAGAGCAATTTTTATTCCCTCAGGTATAAACTCAGTAATGGGATTGCAGGGTCGGATGGTATTTCTGTTCTCAGGTCCGTGAGGAATCACCACACTCTCTTCCACAGTGGTTGGACTAATTTCCACTCCCACCAGCAGTGTATAAGCATTGCTTTTTTTCTGCAACCTCACTGGCATCTGCTATTTTTTGACTTTTTTAATTGTAATAATAGCCATTTTGACTGGTGCGAGATGGTATCTTATTGTGGTTTTGACTTGGATTTCTCTAATGATTAGGGATGTTGAGATTTTTTTCCATACGCTTGTTGCTCATATGTATGTTTTGTTTTGAAAAGTGTCTATTCATGTCCTTTGCCCACTTTTTAATGGTTTTTTTCCTTAAAAATTTGCTTAAATTCCTTTTAGTTGCTGAATATTAGACCTTTGTCAAATGCATAGTTTGTAAGAATTTTCTCCCATTCTGTAGGTTTGTCTGTTCACTCTGTTGATGGTTTCTTTTGTTGTACAGAACCTGTTTAGCTTAATTAGATCCCGTTTGTCAAATTCTACTTTTGTTGCAGTTGCTTTTGGCATCTTGGTCATGCCATCTTTGCCTGTTCCTGTGTCCAGAGAAATGGGTTTTTATAGTTTTTGGTTTTACATTTAAGTCTTTAATGCATCTTGAGTTCATTTTTGTATATGGTATAAGGAAGGGGTCTAGTTTTAATCTTCTGCATATGGCTTGTCAGTTCTCCCTACACATTTACTAAATAGGGAGTCCTTTCCCCATTGATTGTTTTTGTCAGCTTTGTCAAAGATCAGATAGTTGGAGGCATGTGACCTTGTTTCTGGGTTCTCTGTTCTATTCCATTGGTCTATGTGCATGTTTTTGTACCAGTACCATGCTGTTTTGGTTACTGTAGCCCTGTAGTATAATTTGAAGTTGGGTAGCCAGATGCTTCCAGCTCTGTATTTTTTGCTTAGGAATGCCTTGGCTATTCAGGTCCTTTTTTGGGGCCTGAATATTAATATTAAAATAGAATATTTTATCATTAATAAATATGAATATTTATAATATGAATATTAAAATAGCCTTTTCTAGTTCTGTGAAGAATGTCATTGGTAGTTTAATAGAAATAACATTGAATCTATGAATTACTTTGGATATTATAGGTATTTTAGCAAAAATAATACTTTCTATTCACTAGCATGGAATGTTTTCCATTTGTTTGTATCATCTCTGATTTCTTTAAGTAGTGTTTTGTAGTTCTTTGGTAGAGATCTTTCACCTTCCTGTTTAATTATATTTCTAGGTGTGTGTGTGTTTGTGTGTGTGTTTGTGTGTGTGTGTGTGAGTGTGTGGCAGTTATGAATGGGATTGATTTCCTGATTTGGATCCTTGAATGTTATTGGTGTCCAGGAGTGCTAGTGATTTTTGTACGTTGATTTTGTATCCTGAGACTTGCTGAAGTTGTTTATCAATTTAAGGATCTTATGGGCCTAGATTTTGAGGGTTTCTGAATATAAGTTCATGTCTTGTGCTAGCAGGGGTAGTTTGACTTCCTCTCTTCCTATTTGGATGCCCCTTTTTCTTTCCCTTGCCTGAGTGCTCTGGCCAGAACTTCCAATACTATGTTGAATAGGAGTGGTGATAGGGGGTATCTTTGTCCTGTGCCGGTTTTCAAGGGAAATACTCCAGCTTTTGCCAATTCAGTATAATGTTGGCTGTGAGTTTTTCATATATGGCTCTTATTAGTTCAAGGTCTATTCCTTCAATACCTAACTTTTTTGAGAGTTTTTGACATGAATGTGTGTTGAATTTTATCGAAAGCCTTTCCTGCATCTATTGATGTAATCATGTGGTTGCTGCTTTACCTTGTACTTTTGTGTTATGGAGATGGCTTATTTCCTTAAGCCTTATGAACCAACATCTACAAGATTCCAATTTTTCTTCTGTGGCTTCCTCACCTCTCTCAGCCTTCATAGCTATGTAGAGAGCTAGGTCCTTGCTCTGGATTTTGTTTTGGCTTAAGAAAATATTGTGTCTTGTTTGATCTTCTATTCAGATCACTCAAACTTTCTACTTATCACCAATAAGGTTTTTTGGCTTTCTTATCATTTGTGCATTCACTAGAATAGCACTTTTAGTTTCCCTTAAGAAGTTTTTCTTTGAATTCATAGCTTGGCTAACTGTTGGATGCACGATGTCTAGCGTTCAGCCTATCTTGGTTACAACATGCCTTCCTCATTAAGCTCAATAATTTCTAGTTTTTGATTTAAGGTGAGAGATGTGCAACTCTTTCACTTGAACCCTTAGAAGCCATTGTAGGGTTATTAATTGGTCTAATTTTAATATTGTTGTGTCTTAAGGAATACAGAGGCCTGAAGAGATGGAGAAAGATGGGAGAATGGCCAGTAGGTGGAGCAATCAGAACACACAAAACATTTCATGAATTAAGTTCAATGTAATGTGGGAATGGTTTGCGGCATCCCAAAATAATTATAATAGTAATTAATAGTAAAAACCACTGATTACAGATAATCATAACAGATATAACAATGAAAAAATTTGAAATATTGCATGAATTACCAAACTGTGACACACAGACATGATGTGAGCACATGGAAAAAATGGCTAATAAATTTGCTATTTATTTGAAGGACTGCCACAAATCTTCAAACTTTTAAAAAAATGCCGTATTTATGGAGTTCAATAAACTAATAAAGAAAGCAATAAAAGGTGGCCTATCTGTATTTAATATTTTATACATAAACGATCATGCTGTTTCTAAATAGGAGCATAGTTCTTCTTTGTTGTTAATATATGTCATTGATCCTTGCTTTATTTCAGTGGCTAGGAATTCCAACTACCATGATGAATAGAAATTATAAGATTGTATAATCTTGCCTTCTTCTTCCCGTCAGCTTTAATTTAGTTCTGTTTTCTTTAATGTAAATATTTTGCTTATCAGATTGAGGAAGTTACTTTCTATTCCTAATTTGCTTAATATTTTTTATCTTGAACACGTTTACTTTTGATACATGAATTTTCTGTGTTGTTTGAGTTATGTTTTTTTCCCTCACTCTGTTAATAAGATTTTATGTATTTTATACATTAAACCAACCATGCATTCTTGGTAAAACCAACTTGGTCATAATGCATTATTTTATAGATTGCTGGATTTGATTTATTTTCTAAATAAATTCATTAAGTATTTTTGTATCTGTGTTAATGAGGATATTCATGTGTACTTTTTATTCTTTGATGTATTTTTGTCAGGTTTGTTATCAGGGTTATGCTAGCATCAAAAACCAAAATAGTATGTGTTTCCTATTATTTTTTGTAATAGTTTGTTTAAGATGTGTTCTTCTTTATATGCTGGTAGAATTAAGCAGTAAAGTCATAAATTATGGGCATATACTTTGTAATTTGAATTGTATATGTTTTAGACTTAATTCTTCAATTTATTCAAAATTGATGAAATTTTTATTGACATTACATGAGGAGATTTTAGCATCCTTAAGCTACTGAGTTTTACAATCCATTAATATAGATTATACCTTTGTTTAGATTTCTGTAATTTCTTTCATTCATGTTTCACTTAATTTTTTGCTTTTTTCCTTGTTCAGAGTCATTGAATATAATCTTCGGATATTTGACGGGTATTTGGTGTTTCTTGATCCTATTAAGAATGAGTATCCATTTTAGCATTTCAGGTTTCTCTTTGCTCTTAGAATAAGGAGTTATTTCTAATGAGGTTACCTCTACCAGCATTTATAGATTTACAGTTATAATTGAAACATTGAAAATATACTTAACCTAAAATGTCAATTTTTTTTTTGAATCTACAACAGCATAACTTTGCTTGCCCTAAATCTCTCATTTTTTTTCCAAAAGTCATATACAGTTTTTCTGTGTAGGTGATATTGAAGTCATCAATATTCTGTAATGCTATGACAATAACAAAGAAAAGCCTTTACAGAAAGTGACCATCTATAGCTAAAGTTGTTTTTAGACAAAGCCAGGTTTTAGCATAGTGTAGAGGTGAAAGGAATCTACAAGAGCCAGGCACTATCTCTGAAGAGCAAAGACTTTTAAATAATTTTCTTTCTGTTTTTCACAAATGTTACTAAAATCTTTTTAATTTCTTAATTATGAATGGTTTCGAAAATACATGTCCTGCATTTAAAATTACTGAATACTTTTAAGCTCCAAATTCTCAACAATGACAGTTTCCTGTCTATAGCTATGTTCCCTTTACTACAAACTAGATGAACAATACCTATAAAAATCAAGTAAGGAATTCAATTTACTGTTTTTTATGTAAAACATAATCATTCTCTCTCTTTCTCTCTCCTCTCCCTCTGGCTTTTTTCTCTTTTCGTCTATCTTTCATTGTTTAATTTTGGTGATATTTTGCTGGTAGATATCTGGAAGAAATCTGGACACAGTCTGCATGTTTTCCTCTCGTCTTTGTCATGGAAATGATACTTTGATAATGAATTAATAATTTTCGATTAACTGTCACTGTGCAAGAATGACAAATTGTATCAGGCTCCTATTGTCTTTTCCAGGGCACTGAAAGAGTACATATTATTCAGAATATTAATTTCTTATGCATATTCATAGCCCAATACAAATATATATTGACTCAAAATTTAATTTAATAATGACAGATGACTTTTATAACCATCTTTTAAAATATATATGACATAGTATCATGATGGAAACATGCATTTTATAACTTTCAATTGATGATAAGTTAGTAATGAAATAATTAGGGCTAGTAGAGTGAAAAATAACAAAGATAGTAGAAGTAGCTTTATCCGTTTATTTTCTGGGGGTAAAGAAATATTTTATCCACCTTCATGATTTTGATTTTAAACTATTTGTTGAAAGAGCCCCACATTTCTTATCAACTTAGTCCATTTTATGTTCAATTGGAGAATCACTGGCTTTTATTGGACATTACACATGTATTCCTTTCTCTAGATAATTTTGCTAATGTGCTAATCCAACAAATACTTTATCTCCTACTCTGAAATACATTAGACACAGAGGACTTCTAAGTTTGGCTAGAAATCTACTTCAATTTTTTTCCGCTTGGATATCCTTTTGTAGGCATCCCAGCTGCCTTAGAACCTGGGTGTCAACAACCTTGCTCTCTCTCTGCCTTATTCATCTCTGTTTCTTCAACTTACTAAATACTGATTTTCATCTCCTCCAGGTTTGACCCTGGAAAAAGCATTAGAGGTAAAAAGAAAAGAAAGGGTGCATTGCTGTACTCTCTAGGTCTGATTTTGGCAACTCCTGAGATTGTGAACCACGTAGGCAGATTCTTTGGAGACCTCCAAATTTGGATAGCTGTTTCTGGCAATTCCTGGGATGGCTGGAGAATTTGTCTTCTGGTCACTAACTTTTGCTGTTCCCGCGGATGTGGCTGCACAGCCCAGCGTCTTACTGCTGAGGTCTCCTCATTCCTCATGGTGATTCTCTTGGGCTGGGCTTGAGATCATCTCCTTCTTGTCTACTCTCTTGCATGGCCCACATTTGCTGGTGGGAAATACTCACTTGAGACTCATCTCTAGTTGGAATACAGTTATTTCCTAACCGCAGACCATTAATCTGCAAAAGTTCTTCATTTAGACTTTCACCCTTTAAAATTGTCAAGTGAAAGTCAGACACCCTTCAACTAATTTCTCTAAATTCTCTAACTTCTGTAAATTTAGTTCTTTTCAGAGAAACCCACCTGATGTTCTTGTCATCAAGCTTATGGAGAAATGCAAGAAGTCTGATGACTCTTTGTTGATAACTTGCAATTATCACACTGTAATATTGCTTTCCTCCCAAATCCTCAGTGTCCAAGCTACCTGAGCCTCCCATCTTTAATCATTATATTATTTATATTTATATTATATTTAATCATATAAATGTTACACACTGAACTTCAGTGGCTTCTTTTCCATGTCCTACAAAAGTTGTCTGCAACTCTCTTCACTGAGAGTAGGTAGCATAGTTTTGGCTGAAACAGTTTCTTTTTAAATGTTCTGTTACATGTATGTGATTATGTATTCAAAATGGTTTCTAAAAAGAAAATGCTTTCCTTCTAAGAGAGAGTTGTTGAGAAAATCAGAAAGGAACACATATATGCCAAGTGGACATGACAGAATAATTTGCAGTATAAAATAAATCACTTTTAAGAAAGCCAGAGACAGTTTACTGTGGCAGAACATACTGTTTGGTGTAAAATTCTATAGTTTAGAAAATATGTTTGATGTCGGCCATTTACATTATTTGAACTTTAAGGTTTGTATACATACCACTAAAAATTGTCCATTCATTTTAGCAGTGTCTAGTTTAATTCTATCCTATGCTTAGTTCATAAGGCAACCCGGATACTTGGTTGTCTGCAAGGCTATTGATTATTTCTAGGCTACCAGAATATTTGGGGTTTTTTTTCTGATTTAAAACAACAAATAAGCAAATAATCCAGCAGCAAATAAAATAACCTAGGTTCTAATATCAGTTTTTTTTGTTTTTCCAGGTTGCACAAGAATAAGATACTATGTTGGGGGGCATTTTTGAAGGGTTAAATTTCACTTACAAACTTTCCTTGGTCTAAAATTGAAGGTAAGATCACATAAGTGGTCTTGACCTTTTCTAAAATTTTCCTGCTGTGATAGATTTTATCATGGTTCATTTTGTAACCAAACTCTAATTTATTAGCTAGTATTGTTAGGACAATTTTGTTATATAAAAAATTGCTAGAGATGGAAATTTTAGTCATTGTTTCTGAGCACCTTTGGTGGTAATTTTTGATCTATAAAGTTTATTTGAGATTCAGAAGTGTGAACCTATTTTTTTCACAAATTTTGATTTAAGTAACATAACAACATCATTAGGATAATATAGATCACTTAAAGGCTTATTTTCTTCCATAGTGTTTTTTTAATTAAGACTAATTTTTTTTTAAACAAGCAAGATTTTGAAATTTTAGGAATACATTAAAATTAATTTTTATTACTTTTTATGTAATAAAATCTTAAAGACAGGCAAAAATAAAGCAAGTTACATGGAAATAAGTCTGATAGTCATATAGTTACTTTAAAAACCTTACCATCTGATCTCTGCATGGGATAAGACTTAAAAGGTATTTTGAGTAAGCAATGAATAAGATAATTGAAGTAATAACAAAAACTCATATTTGTGACCAACTGGGATAGTGAACCAAATTGATTTACTAAAATCTATCTCAGCAATAGATCTTTGAACAGGTCACCATGAAACCTGCCCCTATTTTTTAAGAACTTAGGGGAATTTGTACATTGACTTTGAAACAGAATATCTTAATTTTAAAAGGTCTAGAATCCTTGTAATAATGAATAAAACATTTGTCTGGCAGAAGTATCTTTTGGCTAATATGTAAGAATTTTTATTTTAAGAATATCAGCATATCTAGTGCATCTAGAAAAAACTCTATCACCACAAAAGTTGTTATTATGATTATTTATACCTTTGCCATTTAGTGCCTGGTTTGATGCACACAATGTTGTTGGAAACATATATTCATATTTTATGTTTGTGATTATTTATCCATTTTTATAATATAAAATTAAGTTCCAATATGAATCCCATTGCCAAAATAGAACTTGACTAATTAAGGTTCTCTTGAAGAAAAATTATACCAGATAGAGTTAAACAGGCAAGACTTTATTCAAGGCTATTGCAATAGTGGATAGAAATTGAACTCAGTTCTTTTGAAACACAATGCAAGAAAATTTTAGTGGAAAAGCATTGGAGGAAGTGAAGGGAAGGTTGTTCCCTGAGTTTGGACCACATTTAATTGTTTAATTGTTGCTTATGGAATTTAGGCTCCTATTATCCATACAAACTGGGAGACTGGGAAAATATCTTTCTGGATAACAATATTTCAAAGGGATGTCTCCAAGTTTTTTAAGACATCCCTGGGTTATAAAACTCACAAGTGGCTGGGAGACTATTTACATCTCAAAGAGTCATAGGAAGAATTTACAATGGAAAATTTTCTGAAGTAAACACTCTAAGAAAATAAAGGTCAGGACATGCAGTCAGGAAGAAAAGTGTTTAAAGTTTCGTCAAGATGAGGGCAATATTAAAGCCATCTTGCTCGGTTTGACTTTATTGCAATTCAGAAACAATGGTTGAGAAATTCATAGTTCGACACAATATTGCAGAATAAAATTACTTTAAAGTATATAAGAAAAATATTGAGGGAAAATAAGATAGTACACAGTCCTCCTCCTTCAAATTTTGTTTGAACATTTTCCACTGTCGGAATATTTGGAAAAAAATCAGAATAAAGGCTTATCATATCCATACTTGAATTGTCAAATTCTCTGTTTTGAAATCATAGTTTGAACTTTTGTTATTATGCCTAAGTATTTCCTGATGCTGCATTTTAGAAGGATATGTCTGTGTTTGACATGAAATATATTTCAAAATATGCTATTTTTCTACTTTATGTTATTGCATTAACTTCCAGAATTAAAAAGTGGCCCTTTTCCTTCATATATCATGTCAACTTCTAACACAGAGACTGATTTTTAAGGATTATAATTAAAGTGTATCAAAAGAAGAGTGTTGGAAAGAGAATGAAATGTGAGTTCTCTGTCAAGACACTTGCTCTGTCAGCCAGAAAATACTAAATAGCTATTTGGAAGAGGAATAATATTTTTTTCCTCAATTCTGATAAAGTATTAGTTGGAATGGACCCATGGACCAAAAGAGAGATTAACAAGAGAAAAGCCAGAGAAGTTTATTGACGTGTATTTCATATATACATGGAAGACAGCAAGGGAATGAGTAGCCGCCAAGGAGGTGAGTTTGAATTTCAGCTTATATAACGCATTGTTCAACAAAGAACAGTAAAGTTTTAGGGAAGCGACATGACAAAGGAAAAGGATTTTGAATTTCTAAAGACAGCAACTTGAGGCAAGGCAAAGAAAAGGCAGATAAAGGCTAAGTAAAGCTTGTTAATGTAGATTCCTCTGGTGCCATCTCCAGGCCCATAACAGTCTAAAGTTCTCTTCAGTGGATAACATTTGTCCTCCCCGGTTTAGAGGGGAAGGGGGATATTTTTTGTCTTTGTAAATGTATATCGTCCTTTTAGGTAAATAGAGGCAGAGAGCTTTTCTTCATCTGCTTCTTAATTGCCTTCAGCTCAACAAACCTTATGCCAAACCATCCTAAATTGGGGTGGCATATTCTGATCTCCCATAGGTAAATTGGTTCAGCAAGAGCCTTTTCTTCAATTATTCCTCACTCCACTCCCATGCACAGTTTCATATTATATCTACAATAATACATTGAACATTTATACTCTAAAATGTATTAGATATATTTATGGGACTTAATAAGTCACATTCTCAGATACAGCATGATTAAATGCATTGAAAAATGTGGTACTCATGTATTATTACAAGATAGAAAAAACATTCTTATAAGGCAGTCAGTATATTGTGTATAACTACCTTTGTGTGTGTAGGTGTGTGTGTGTGTTTGTGTGTGTGCATGTTTGTGTGTGTATAAACTTAATGTCATCAGTAGGTTCTTGGAAACTGTGACTTTAATCAAAACGATGCATAACAAAATCCATTTTTTGCGTATTATAATTATATCTAAATGACTATGTTATTCAAGGACCTATTGTATGTCATTTCACTTAAGGTCATATTTTCCAAGAACTTAACAATATTTAGTGGGTTCTTAATGTGGGTGTGTGTGTGTGTGTGTGTAATACATGCACATAGAGATAGACAGGAATAATAGTCACTAAGTTGAAAGCATCTTTTTTTTTTTTTATTTTATGTTGCGGGAAGTCAGGGACCCCAAACGGAGGGACCTGCTGAAGCCATGGCAGAAGAACGTAGATTGTGAAGATTTCATGGACATTTATTAGTTCCCCAAATTAATACTTTTATAATTTCTTATGCCTGTCTTTACTGCAGTCTCTAAACATAAATTGTAAAGATTTCATGGACACTTATCACTTCCCCAATGAATACCCTTGTGATTTCCTATGCCTGTCTTTACTTTAATCTCTTAATCCTGTCAGCTGAGGAGGATGTAATTACAGCCTCAGGACCCTGTAATAATTGCATTAACTGCACAAATTGTACAGCATGTGTGTTTGAGCAATATGAAATGTGGGCACCTCGAAAAAAGAACAGGATAACAGCAATTGTTCGGGGAATAAGAGAGATAACCTTAAACTCTGACCACCGGTGAGCTGGGCAGAACAGAGCCATATTTCTCTTCTTTCAAAAGCAAATGGGAGAAATATCACTGAATTCTTTTTCTCAGCATGAAACATTCCTGGGAAAGAGAATACCCACCTGGAGGTATAGGCTTATAAACAGCGCCCCCAGGTGCGCCTGCCTCTTAGGGTTGAGGCTGCAGGGATGAAATAGACCCCAGTCTTCCATAGCGCTCCCAGGCTTATTAGGAAGAGGAAATTCCTGCCTAATAAATTTTGGTCAGACCAGTTGATCTCAAAACCCTGTCTCCTGATAAGATGTTATCAATGACAATGGTGCCCGAAACTTCATTAGCAATTTTAATTTCACCTCGGTCCTGCGGTCCTGTGATCTTGCCCTGCCTCCACTTGCCTTGTGATATTCTATTACCTTGTAAAGTACTTGATGTCTGTGACCCACACCTATTCGCACACTCCCTCCCCTTTTGAAACTCCCTAATAAAAACTTGCTGGTTTTTGTGGCTTGTGGGGCATCACGGAACGTACCGACATGTGATGTCTCCCCTGGACGCCCAGGTTTAAAATTTTTCTCTTTTGTACTCTGTCCCTTTACTTCTCAAGCTGGCAGATGCTTAGGAAAAACAGAAAAGAACCTACATGAATATCGGGGCAGGTTCCCCGATAATTTTATTTACGTGTATCTTCTAAGGAGTCTACATATAATGCAACATATTCTAATGCTATATAATAAGAATGTAAAAATGAATAGATTCATGTAATTTATGGCAAAAAATATCTATCTCATCATCAGCCTTAAGAGTTTCTACACAGGCTAAAATTAAGAAAAAATAATTATATGTTTTCAATTTTCTTTATAACATGGTCATATTTTCATTTTCTTTCTTCATCTCTCTTTCTTTCCTTCACCTTCCTTTTTCTTTCTTCTTTTCTTCGTCTTTTCTTTTTCCCTTCTCTCCTTCCTTCACCATCCTAAAACATGCATTAAGCCATGTTTCAGCCATGGAGTACCACGTGATATGAGGTTTATAAAAGCATACTTTAGAGCACTTCTGCCCATCAAAATTAGTCAACCTAGAAATGGAAATGACATGTGCATTATTAGCTATAGGGTTGTATATAATGAGAAACTTAACAATTGTGCCATTGTGTTATTTGTGTCTTTTTTCCCTAAAAAGTGAATGGGCTCTTTATACTGAAAATATGAGGCAAGATAGATGAAGATTGGGCACTTGTTTGGATCAGGAATGGTGGATAGAATATTGTTCCAAGTTCTTGTTAAGATAAAATACAGATTATATTTTTAAAATATCATGGAAACCTTTCAGTTTTATTTGAAAAGGTTGTGAATGGAAACTTTTTGTGATGTAAATGAAGCTTAAATAAGCTTGAATAATGAGTTGATATATTTTCCCATATCTCTTCCTCTTAACGTTTGCCTCCCATTCCAATACTTGTGTTCTATATTCCATTTAGTTCAGTTTTTACTGTTCACTATTTTTCATGGCAACTATCATATTCTGAGTCTATCCCTCTGCAAATGATATGGTAAGTGCTAAAAATGTAATGGTATCTCCTGTTGATAGATCTGTATTTTACCAAAAACCTTCTTGAGAAAGAAAACTTTGCCACAAGTGCAGTAGTTCAGATGATAATCATTTCAATCTCTGTAACAGTTGGAGATATGATTGTGTTGCCCCATTGAACAACTGTGTAAGCTGACTACCATTAGCTAGAAAGGTACTTGACTTCATACCACCACTGTGTTTAGAACAGAGTTTGTTGACAGCTTGTATGTAGTAAGGCTGATTTTATTAATATGTAGATTTTTTAAGCATAGAGATTAAAACAGGCTTGCAAAGTGCTTGAATCTAAATTCAGATGGAAATTAGCCAAACATCTTAAATCATTAATTAAAATGTTATCAAAACTTTAAAATTTTAATCACATATCAGTGATTAAAAGTTATGATGTACTTCCCTTAGCCATACTCTGACTAGAGGAGCAGCTTTCTCATGTTGCAGCAATGCAATTTTTTTTTTTTTTTTTTTTGAGCCTGAGTCTTGCTCTGTCGCCCAGACTGGAGTTCAGTGGCATAATCACGGCTCACTACAACCTCCACTTCCAGGGTTCAAGCGATTTTTCTGCCTCAGACTCTCGAGTATCTGAGACTACAGGAACGCACCACCATGCCCAGCTAATTTTTGTATTTTTAGTAGAGACAGGGTTTCACTATGTTGGCCAGGCTGGTCTCAAACTCCTGACCTTAAGTGATCCTCCCACCTCAGCCTCCCAAAGTGCTGGGATTACAAGCATGAGCCAGCGTGCCTGGCCACAGATTTTTTTTTGGAGCAAAATATAGAATTATGTAACGTTATAAATACTATCAATATGATCTAAGGACAGAAGTATAATCTTTCATTACTCACAATAAAAGCTAATAAATTAATACATTTCTTTTTTTTTTTTTTTTTTTTTTTTTGAGACAGCCTCACTCTGTCACCCAAGCCAGGCTGGAGTGCAGTGGCACAATCTAGCCTGACTGCAACATAGTCCTCCTGGGTTCAAGTGATTTTTCTGCCTCAGCCTCCCAAGTAGCTGGGATCACAGGCGCCCACCACCATGCCTACCAAATTTTTTTGTATTTTAAGTACAGATGGGTTTCGCCATGTTGACCAGACTGACCTTGAACTCCTGGCCTCAGGAGATCCACCTGCCTCAGCCTCCCAAAGTGTTGTGATTACAGGTGTAAGCCGCCATGCCCGGCCAAATTAGTACTTTTTTTTAAATTAAACTAGCTTTCAAATGTGTATGCAATTCTTATAGTGGAAAGAGAGAGATTGAAACAAAGTACCTGTACTATAGAGCAAATTATATAACTAAAAGTTGATTTTATACAGACACATAAAGGAAACTACAACTAAACAATGTCCAGTACCACAGTGTTATTATGCCTCACACTATATGGCACTTGCTTTCCTAAGCCAATCACTTAAGCTTTAACTCATAAATTTCCTCTCAATTTCTCCCGAATCTATATCCCATTGTTGATTGAGATTCTCTTGACAAGACCAATTCAGAAGACAATGCCTTGAGGAGGTAATGTGCAGATACATCTGTTTGCCTTTTACATCCACTCTTCACCTTCTCAGAGATGCATGGATTGCATCAGAAGGCTCCTGAGCCATCTGACATTCAGTTGGCTTCCACAAATGGGCAAAGAAAGGAGAATATGAAGGGAAAGAGGTAAATAATAGCCAGGTATGTGTTGCATAGGTTCTCTCCAAGCTGGCTGCCTTCTTTTCTAAACATGGCTCATGTTATATGACATTTCCCCATTAGATTATGTTGTTTTTTTTTTTTCCTGATGAAATTTTTCTTCTGTATTCCTTGTTTGTCAGTGTATGACATTACCTCTTATAGTTCCCCTATACCCTACTCACACCTCTCTTAAGCTTTCCTTTACTAAAAACACATTGGTTTATCTAAATTTGAGGGTGACATTTTCTTGCTGGTACACCAAGTATTATAGTAATTGGTGCTTGACTTGTCTCTAAGAAAAAAAAAATAACTCAAAATGAGATTCTTGGATTGGAGTGTGCATATTAAGGATCCATGCATAAACTCCTTTCGTGGAGGTGGGAGATTCACATAGCATGTGGCTAATTTTTGCCAGGTGTGGCATCACAATTACTCAAATGACACCTGTGGTGGCATGGGATGAGTGCAGGTATAGAGTATTGGATGATCAAGTGGCTGCAGCAATTACTCACTGTAGCAATAGTTGTAATTATTATTACATTTGGTTTCTCATGACAACCAAGTGTATATTCTCTATATACTTGAGAATGTATATAGGGAAAATGTAAACTAACAGGTATAAAATGCAATAAGAGCACATGGGGAAACAGAAGGTCATCAGGGCAGCTTTGAAGGAGCCCATCTTTTTATGATTATAAGTGTTGCAGAGATGCAACATACTTGGAACTCTCAACCCTTTTGATCCTCTTAACCTATAGAAAAGGCACTGAAAATTGGCACTGGGGAAGAAAAGGGACATTGAGACATGAGATGGGAAAATGATAATGGTGAAAACATTGAATATCTCAATTTCATGAACTTTCTGGCTAGTGAACATAGACCCTCTCACTTTCTCTAGTCCTCTTCTGCCTAATAGCCTTACAGTAACTATATTTGGACAGTTTCCTCAAGAGCTAATGTCAATTCTTTTCATGACCCACTTATACCATCTCTCATTGATTCTAGGGCCATAAGAAATGTTAGCTTTTAGTCAAGACAGGAATATAAGATCTTTTTTAAAACAAGATAGCCTATACTACAAAACAGGTATAGGTTGGCTGGGCACGGTGGCTCACGCCTGTAATCCCAGCACTTTGGGAGTCCGAGGTGGGTGGACCACGAGGTCAGGAGATAGAGATCATCCTGGCTAACATGGTGAAACCCTGTCTCTACTAAAAACATACAAAAAAATTAGCCGGGCGTGGTGGTGGGCAGCTGTAGTCCCAGCTCCTCAGGAGGCTGAGGCAGAAGAATGGCGTGAACCCCAGAGGCAGAGGTTGCAGGGAGCCGAGATCGCACCACTGCACTCCAGCCTGGGCGACAGAACGAGACTGTCTCAAAACAAAACAAAACAAAACAAAACAAAAGGTATAGGTCATTGTCACTATTGGCAGGGAGCTAGAAATCATGCATGGGAGTGAATTCTAAAGACGTTAGACAATGGACAACAAAATACAAAACTTGCTGAAGCTGAATTCTTTTGCATGAATGCATTCACCCTGAATTCAGGGTGTGATGTTTTGGCTACCACAATGAAAAGTGGCGTTAATAGTCTGCTAGATTGGCTAACTGAAACCAAGTCTCAATAATAGCTTATAGTTAATGAAGTCAAAATGTCTGAACTTTTACAGCACATTATAAAACAAGGTTCTCAAATTTCAACAAGCATCAGAATGATATGGATGGCTATTTTATTTTATTTTATTTTAAGACGGAGTCTCACTCTGTCGCCCAGGCTGGAGTGCAATGGCACGATCTGCAACCTCTGCCTCCTGGGCTCCAGAGATTTTCTTCCCTTAGCCTCCCAAGTAGCTGGGATTACAGGCGCCCACCACCATGCCTGGTTAATTTTTTTTTTTTTTTTTTGTATTTTTATTAGAGATGGTGTTTCACCATGTTTGCCAGGCTGGTTTTGAACTCCTGACTTCAAGTGATCCACCCGCCTCGGCCTCCCAAAGTGCTGGGATTACAGGCGTGAGCCACCATTCCCAGCCTCATGGATGGCTATTTAAACACAGATTGCTGAAATGGGATCTCTGAGTTTCTAATGCAATAGTTTGGGATGGAGCCGCAAATACGGATTTCGAACAAGTTCTCGTGTGAAGATGATACTTATGTCAGGGGACCACACTTTAGAAACATTGTGATAAAGCCTGCTTTCATAAAGTGAGACACACAGACAAGCAGCATCAACTAGACGGCTCTACCCTCCTACTCTATATCTACTAAATCATAAGTTATAATTCTAACAAGATCTCTAGGTGATTCATGGGCACATTAAAATTGAGAAGCCCTATTTTAGAGGAGTTTAAAAGTTCAGAGTGATGGAAATGTGCAATGAATTTATCTTCATGTGTAATCTGATAAACCAGCCTTTATCTATACACTTCTAAGATAACCAGAGGACATGCACTTCAGCAAGATTTAACAAGTATATTGGTAAAAGGGCATCTGGCTTCCTTGAAGAGCCCTACAGTTTTTTTTTGTTTTGTTTTGTTTTTTTTTCCTCTGTAGATTAGGGATGTCAGTGAGGGACGCTGTAACAGAATGGGCTTCCTGGTCTCAATAGGGATAAATAAATGACCCTGTGTGTAAAGTGCTCATAGTGACCTAAATGGGATTAATATGTGGGCTCAAGAAGATAGCATTACTAAGGCTAATCTGGTTACTTCTGTTGCTGATACTCAATGTGCCAGTAATAGAACCCAAATCTGAATCCCTATTATGGTATCATTCCTCAGGGAACCAGCTCACTGACCAGTGGCATTAAACCCACTTTTATCATGGAGGAGGGTCCTTATATGGATAAATATGATTCAGTATGGATTTGTGTTGTCTGTAGACCTTCTACCTGAAACAACATTCATGTGCTCAGAGAACGTCTTTCCAATGCTTTTGATCATTATCTGGTGGACATACAACCTCATTTCCAACAAGGTGATTTATTTTATTTTAAGGTGAAGGATCATAGCAAAGAGCTCACACCACAGCTTAATCCAATAATGTTACTACAATGCCTACCATTCAGAAGCAGCTAGCAGAAGAAGATGGTGGGATAGAATTCTTAATTCTCAGATAACGGCTAGTAGAAGATGAACTTCTATGAGGTTTGGTCATTCTCTTACAGTATGTGGCGTATGCTTTAAATTAGAGGTCACGAAGGCATGCCCTCTCCTGAATAGCTATGCAGGAGATGGCATGACATAACAGAGCCTGGGCAACTTGAAGTGAAGATGAAAGTGATCTCTCTTCCTATCTTACTTAATGATCTTCGTGAATAATTTTGGCTTTCTTGTCTGTGACCTTCAGCTGGGTGACATTTGGGTTCTAGGACCAGAAGTTGAACGCTTTGACAACGAAACTCAACTATTGTTCTGACTAATTGGAAGCTCAGATTGTCCTCTGGCCATTTTTGGACCCTTCATGCTGATGAACGTTTGAACAGAGAAAAGACTTTCCATACTTGTGGGGGATAATTGATCCTAATGCCTTGTAGCAAATACGATAAGGACAAGTGAAGCAAGAGGAACAGATGTAAACATATCTGAGTGTACAGTTCAGTGGTATTAAGTATATTCATACAGTTGTGCAGCCATTACCACTATCCATTTCCAGAACTGTATTCATCTTGTAAAACTAAAACTCTATACCATTAATCAATAACTCCCCATTACTCCCTCCCCAAGTCCTTGGTAACAACCTACTTTGTCAATGATTTTGACTACTTTAAGTACCCCATATAAGTGTGTTACCAAAACACCAGGGATTTGGTCTAGGTCCTGCTGTTTGCCACACAAACTCAATCACTGAGACGATGAATATTGCCAAGGAAGAAGGCTTTAATCAGGTGATACTGCCGAGGAGATGGGAGCTGTCTCAAATTTATCTCCCTCACTGACTAAAACTAGGGGTTTATATAGCAGGGAAGAAATGCAATAATGTGCAAGAAACAGGAATTACAGAGGGGCAAGGAAGCAAGCATAATGAATGAGGGATCCTGCATCTCATTGTCTGGATGTGGTGATATGGTGAGTTTTTTGATACTTTGAGAGGCCTGAAGATCATTTGGTAAATTTCAAACTTTCAGATCAGAAGAGTACACATCTATGTTTATTAAAAAATATATGGAAGTATTGGGTCAGTTTCAAGTATAATCATGCCATATTTGTTTTTTCATGAGTGGCTTATTTAACTTAGCATACCAGCCTCACTGTTGATCCATGTTGTAGCATGTGTCAGAATTTCCTTCTTTTTCAAGGCTGAATAATATTCCTTTTGTGTATATACTACATTTTGTTTATTGATTTATCCATGGATGGATGCTTAATTTGCTTCCAAGTTTTAGCTATTGTGAATGATGCTGCCAGGAACATGGGTATGTAAGTACCTCTTCCAGAGACTGCTTTCAAGTCTTTTGAGTATATACTCAGAAGTAAAATGGCTGAATCACGTGGTAATACTGTTTTTAATTTTTGAGGAAACATTTGTTTTCCACAATTTCCATATGATTTTATTTTAAACTTTCAATTTATTAATAAAAATTGTATATATTTCTTTTGTAAAACATGATATTTGATATGTGTATGCATTGTAGAATGGTTAAATCAAGCCAACTAACATATGTATTACCTCACTTCTTGTACAGACAACACTTAAAATCTACTCTCTTAGCAATTTTCAAGTGTACAATATATTGTTATTAACTATAGTTACTGGGATGTAAAATTAATCTCTTGAACTTGTTTCTTTTGTGTAACTGAAATTTTGGGCTGCACCACCTTACTTTCCAACCAACATTGTAGTGTTTCAATTTCTCCACATCCTCGCCAACACTTGCTATTTTTTAGGTTTTTTGTCTAGTAGCCATCCTAATGAATGTGAGGTGGTTTATTATTGTAGCTTTCATTTTTATTTCCCCAATGATTAGTGATGTTCACCATCTTTCTGTGTGTTTATTGATTATTTGTATATCTTCTTTGAAAAACTATTGATTCAAGTTCTTTACACACTTTTCAATCAGATCATTTGTTTTTCGTTGGATTTCAGAAGTTCTTTATATATTCTGCATAACAATGAATGTTTATAGTGGGAAAAAGTTATGTTGAGAAAGTAGATAATCACTTTCAGGTGGTTCTCTGATTAATATTTGAATAATATTATGTATAAATAATAAAACATATTCAAGTATCTGATTATTATTATATGAAGTTAAACAATCTTCCTCTTTCTTAAATACACTGCATATAGAAAACCCTAAAGCAAGCTTGTCCAACCTATGATCCGCAGGCCACATGCAGCCTAGGACAACTTTGAATGTGGCCCAACAAAAATTTATAAACTTTCTGAAAACAGCATAAGATTATTTTTTGGGATTTTTTTTTTTTTGTAACTCATCAGCTATCAGCTGTCGCTAGTGTTAGTGTATTACCTGTGTGGCCCAAAACAATTCTTCTTTCACTGTGGCCTAGGGAAGCCAAAATATTGGACATCCCTGCCCTAAAGAGTCTACACACACACACACACACACACACACACACACACACACACACAACTAATAACTAAATTCAGCAAAGTAGTAGGATACAAAACCAATGCACAAAAATCAGTTGTACTTGTATACCTAACAAGTAATAAGCTAAAAAAGACATTAAGAGAATAGTTCAGTTTACAATAGCATCAAAAAGAATAAAACACAAAGGAATCAATTTAACCAAGGAGGTGAAACATTTATGCAATGATTATTAGAAAATATTTTTGAAAGTAAAGTACTTCGTCAGGCTTTGAAATAGCTTCTTCAATGTGTAAAATGATTTTCATCATCTTACAGACCAAATGAATAAAATGACCTTTAGAAAATACCTGAAAGAATCTTATTTAATTTAGTTAGTTTATTTGATTTTTTAAAAAGGGCAAGTACTTGTGCTATTGAAAAGGAATATGACTTAGAAAGTTTACTTCATTTGCAGTTAGAGAGTACTTTAAATTAAATTTGTTTGGCTGGATTAACCTCTCAAATGATAAGCCTATCAGAAAACTTTGAATATTTGAGTACTCTTTAGTTAATTACATTTTTGCTGCTTTAATTATCAAACTTAAGCTTATTTGTTTTTCTACGATAGGCACTGCCATAG